>NC_000022.11:12275588-12438690 GCF_000001405.40 Homo sapiens | reverse complement strand
GAATTCTGAGAAACTTCATTCTGATGTGTGCATTCACCTCACAGAATTTAACCTTTCTTTTGATTGAGCAGTATGGAAATGTTCGTCTTTTAGAATTTGGAAAGGGATATTTCTTAGCCCTTTGAGGCCTATGGTGAAACTGGAAATATCTTCACATGAAAACTAGACCAAAGCTTTCTGAGAAATTTCTTTGAAATGTGTGCTTTCATCTCACAGAGTTAAAACTTTCTTTTGATTGAGCAGTTTAGAAACACTTTTTTTGTGAAATCTGTAAATGGATATTAGGAGCACTTTGAGGCCAATGGTGACAAAGGATATATCTTCATGTAAAAACTAAACAGAAGTTTTCTGAGAAACTACTTTTTGATGTGTCCATTAATCTAACAGAGTTGAAACTTTCTTTTTATTGAGCAGTTTGGATAGAGTCTTTTTGTAGAATCTGCAAAAAATATTTGTGAGCCCTTTATTGCCTATGGTGAAATAGGAATTTTCTTCACATATAAACTAGACAGAAGCAGTCTGAGAAACTTCTTTGTGATGTATGCATTCATCTCACATAGTTGAAACTGTCTTTGGATTGAGCAGTTTGGAAACAGTCCTCTTGTAGAATCTGCAAAGGGATATTTCTGAGCCCATTGAGTACTATGGTGCAATGTGAAATATCTTCACATAAAAACTAGACAGAAGCTTTCTAAGAATCTTCTTTGTGATGTGTGCTTTCATCTCACAGAATTGAAACTTTCTTTTGAGTGAGGAGTTTGGAAACACTCTTTTTCTAAAATCTGCAAGTGAATATTTGGAGAGCTTCTGAGGCCCATGGTGAAAAACGAAATAACTTCACATAAAAACTAAACAGAAGTTTTCTGAGAAACTTTCTTGTGATGTGTGCATTCATCTCACAGAGTTGAACCTTTCCTTTGATTGAGCAGGTTGGAAAGAGGCTTATTGTACAATCTGCAAAGGGATAATTCTGATCCGTTTGAGGCCTATGGTGAAAGAGAAATATCTTCACATAAAAACTAGACAGAATCATTCCGAGAAATTTCTTTGTGATGTGTCCATTCATCTCACAGAGTTGAACCTTTCTTTTGATTGAGCAGTTTGGAAACAGTCTTTTTGTAAAACCTTCAAAGGGATATTTGTGAGCCCTTTATGGCCTCAGGTGAAATAGGAAGTATCTTCACATACATACTAGAGAGAAGCTATCTGAGTAACATTTTTGTGATGTGTGCTTTCATCTCAGAGAGGTAAAAAATTTTTTTGATTGAACAGTTTGGAAACAGTCTTTTTGTAGAATCTGCAAATGGATGTTTGGATTGCTTTGAGGCCTATGTTGAGAAAGGTAATATCTTCACATAAAAACAAGACAGAAGATTTCTGAGAAACTCCTCTTTTATGTGTGCATTCATCTCACCGGTTTGAACCTTTCTTTTGATTGAGCAGTTTGGAAACATTCTTTTTGTACAATCTGCAAAGGGATATTTCTGAGCCATTTGAGGCCCATTGAGAGAGAAATATCTTCATATAAAAACTAGACAGAAGCATTATGATAAACTAATTTATTATGTGTGCATTCATCTCACAGAGTTGAACCTTTCTTTTCATTTAGCAGTTCAAAAACTGTCTTTTTGTAGAGTCTGCAAAGGGATATTTGTGAGAACTTTGAGGCCTATGGTGATATAGGAAATATCTTCACAAAAAAGTAGACAGAAGCATTATGAGAAACTTCTTCATGATGTGTGCTTTCTTCTCACAGATTTGAATCTTTCTTTTAATTGAACAGTTTGGAAACTCTCTTTTTGTAGAGTTTGCAAAAGATATTTGGATTGCTTTGAGGCCTATGGTGAAAAAGGAAATATTTTCACTTAAAAACTAAACAGAAACTTTCTGAAAAACTTCTCTGTGATGTGAGTATTCATGTCACAGTGTTGAACCTTTGTTTTCATTGAGCAGTTTGGAAACCATCTTTTTGTACAATCTGCAAAGGGATATTTCTGAGCAGTTTGAGGCCTATGGTGAAAAACAAATATCTTAACACAAAAACTAGACAGAGGCATTCTGAGAAACTTCTTATTCATGTGTGCATTCATCTCCCAGAGTTGAACCTTTCTTTTCATTGAGAAATTCAGAAACAGTCTTTTTGTAGAATTTGGAAAAGGATATATGTGAGCCCACTGAGGCCCACGGTGAAATGGGAAATATCTTCACAGGAAAACCAGACAGAAGCATTCTGAGAAACTTCTTTGTGATGTTTGCATTCATCCACAGAGTTGAAACTTTCTTTTGATTGAGCAGTTCAGAAAAACTCTTTTTGAAGTATCTGCAAAAGGATATTTGGAGCACTTTGTGGCTTGTGGTGAAAAACTAAATATCTTCACATAAAATCTAGTGAGAAGCTTTCTGAAGAACTTCTTTGTGATGTGTGCTTTCATCTCACAGAGTTGAAAATTTCTTTTGATTGAGCAGTTTGGAAACAGTGTTTTGTAGAATCCGCAAATCGATAATTGGATTGCTTTGAGGCCTATCGTTAGAAGGGAAATATCTTCACATAAATACTAGACAGAAGATTTCTGAGAAACTTCTTTGTGATGTGTGCTTTCATCTCACAGAGTAGAACTGTTCTTTTGATTGAGTAGTTAGGAAATTGTCTTTATCTACAATCTGCAAAGGGATATTTCTGAGGGGTTTGAGGCCTATGGTGAAAAAGAAATATCTTCACATAAAAACTAGACAGAAGCATTCTGAGAAACTTCTTTGTGATGTGTGCTTTCATCTAACAGGTTTGAAACTTTCTTTTGATTGAACAGTTTGGAAACAGTCTTTTTGTACAGTCTACAAAGGGATATTTCTGAACGGTTTGGTGCCTATGGTGAAAAAGGAATATCTTCACATAAAAACTAGACAGAAGAATTCTGAGAAACTTCTTTTTTATGTTTGCAGTTTTCTCACAGGGTTGAACCTTTCTTTGCATGGAGCAGTTTGAAAACAATCTTTTTGTAGAGTCTGCAATGGGATATTTGTGAGCTCTTTGAGGCCTATGGTGAAATATGAAATATCTTCACATAATAACCAGACAGAAGCATTATGAAGAACTTCTTTGTGATGTGTGGTTTCATCTCACAGAGATGAAGGTTTCCTTTGATTGAACAGTTTTCAAGCAGCCTTTTTGTTGTATCTGCAGAGGGATATTTGGGAGCTGTTTAAGGCCTATGGTGAAAAAGGAAATATCTTCACATCAAAACTAGACAGAAGCATTCTGAGAAACTTATTTATGTGTGCGCATTCATCTCACAGAGTTGAACTTTTTTTGTGATTGAGTCGTTTGGAAATAGTCTTTTTGTGGAGTCTGTAAATGGATATTTGGAGCACTTTGAGGCCTATTGTGAAGAAGGAATTATCTTCACATAAAAACTAGACAGATACTTTCTGAGAAACTTCTTTGTGCTGTTTGCATTCATCTCACAGAGTTGAACCTTTCTTTGCATTTGACAGTTTGGAAACAGTCTTTTTGTACAATATGCAAAGGGTTATTTCTGAACCATTTGAGGCCTATGGTGAAAAATAAATATGTCAGATAAAAACTATACAGAAGCATTCTGAGAAACTTCTTTTTCATGTGTGCATTTACCTCACAGAGTTGAACCTTTCTTTTCATGTAGCTGTTTGGAAATAGTCTTTTTGTAGAATCTGCAAATGGATATTTGGAGCACTTTGAGGCCTGTTGTGAAAAAGGAAATATCTTCACGCAAGAACTGGACAGAACCATTCTGAGGAACTTCTTTGTGATGTGTACATTCATTTCACAGAGATGAAAGTTTCCTTTGATTGAACAGTTTTCAAGCAGTCTTTTTGTAGTATCTGCAGAGGGATATTTGGGAGCCATTTAAAGCCTATGGTGAAAAAGGAAATATCTTCACATAAAAACTAGACAGAAAGATACTGAGAAACTTCTTTATGATGTGCGCATTCATCTCACAGAGTTGAACCTGTCTTTTCATTGAACAATTTGGAAACAGTCTTTTTGTGCAATCTTCAAAGGGATATTTCTTAGCCATTTGAGGCCTATGGTGAAAAAGACATACCTTCACATAAAAACTAGGCAGAAGCCTTCTGAGAAACTTCTTTGTGATGTGTCCATTCATCTCACATAGGTGAACCTTTGTTTTTGATTGAGCTGTTTGCAAACTGTCTTTTTGTAGAGTCCGCAAAGGGATATTTGTGAGAACTTTATGGCCTATGGTGAAACAGGAAATATCTTCACATAAAAACTAGACAAACAGTCTGAGAAACTTATTTGTGATGTGTACTTTCATCTCACAGAGTTGAAACTTTCTTTTGATTGAGCAGTTTGGAAAGAGTCCTTTTGAAGTATCTTAAAAGAGATATTTTTGAGCCCATTGAGGCCTATGCTGAAAGAGGAAATATCTTCACATATAAGCTAAACAAAAACTTTCTGAGAAAATTCTTTGTGATATGTGCTTTCATCTCACAGAGTAGAATTTTTCTTTTCATTGAGCAGTTTGGAAACAGTCTTTTTGTAACATCTGCATAGGGACATTTCTGAGCAGTTTGAGGCCTATGGTGACAAAGAAATATCTTCACATAAAAACTAGACAGAAGCATTCTGAGAAACTTCTTTTTTAGGTGTGAATTCATCTCACAGAGTTGAAACTTACTTTTCATTGAACAGTTCTGTAACAGTCTTTTTGTAGAAACAGCAAAAGGATATTTGTGAGCCCTTTGAGGCCTATGGTGTAACAGGAAATACCTTCACTTAAAAACTAGACAGAAGCATTCGAGTAACTTCTTTATGATTTGTGCTTTCATCTCACAGAGTTGAATCTTTCTTTTGATTGAGCAGTTTGGAAAAACTCTTTTTGTACAATCTGCAAAAGATATTTGGTGCACTTTGTGGACTATGGTGAAAAAGGAAATATCTTCACATAAAAACTAGAAAGAAACTTTCTGAGAAACTTCTTTGTGATGTGCACTTTCTTTTTATTTTATTTTATTTTATTCTTATTATACTTTAAGTTTTAGGGTACATGTGCACAATGTGCAAGTTAGTTACATATGTATACATGTGCCACACTGGTGTCATGTACCCATTAACTCATCATTTAGCATTAGGTATATCTCCTAATGCTATCCCTCCCCACTCCCCCAACACCACAACAGTCCCCAGAGTGTGATTTTCCCCTTCCTGTGTCCATGTGTTCTCACTGTTCAAATCTCACCTATGAGTGAGAACATGTGGTGTTTGATTTTTTGCCCTTGTGATAGTTTACTGAGAATGATGATTTCCAATTTCATCCATGTCCCTACAAAGGACATGAACTCATCATTTTTATGGCTCCATAGTATTCCATAGTGTATATGTGCCACATTTTCTTAATCCAGTCTATCATTGTTGGACATTTGGGTTGGTTCCAAGTCTTTGCTATTGTGAATAGTGCCACAATAAACATACATGTGCATGTGTCTTTACAGCAGCATGAAACCAACGAGAACAAAGACACAACATACCAGAATCTCTGGGACACATTCAAAACGGTGTTTAGAGGGAAATTTGTAGCACTAAATGCCCACAAGAGAAAGCAAGAAAGATCCAAAATTGACACCCTAACATCACAATTAAAAGAACTAGAAAAGCAAGAGCAAACACATTCAAAAGCTAGGAGAAGGCAAGAAATAACTAAAATCAGAGCAGAACTGAAAGAAATAGAGACACAAAAAATCCTTCAAAAAATTAATGAATCCAGGAGCTGGTTTTTTGAAAGGATCAACAAAATTGATAGACCACTAGCAAGACTAACAAAAAAGAAAAAAGAGAAGAATCAAATAGATGCAATAAAAAATGATAAGGGGGATATGACCACTGATCCCACAGAAATTCAAACTACCATCAGAGAATACTACAAGCACCTCTATGCAAATAAACTAGAAAATCTAGAAGAAATGGATAAATTCTTCGACATATACACCCTCTCAAGACTAAACCAGGAAGAAGTTGAATTTCTGAATAGACCAATAACAGGCTCTGAAATTGTGGCAATAATCAATAGCTTACCAACCTAAAAGAGTCCAGGATCAGATGGATTCACAGCCGAATTCTACCAGAGGTAAAAGGAGGAACTGGTACCATTCCTTCTGAAACTATTCCAATCAATAGAAAAAGAGGGAATCCTCCCTAACTCATTTTATGAAGCCAACACCATCCTGATACCTAAGCCGGGCAGAGACACAACGAAAAAAGAGAATTTTAGACCAATATCCTTGATGAACATTGATGCAAAAATCCTCAATAAAATACTGGCAAACCGAATCCAGCAGCACATCAAAAAGCTTATCCAACATGATCAAGTGGACTTCATCCCTGGGATGCAAGGCTGGTTCAATATACGCAAATCAATAAGTGCAATCCAGCATATAAACAGAACCAAAGACAAAAACCACATGATTATCTCAATAGATGCAGAAAAGGCCTTTACAAAATTCAACAACCCTTCATGATAAAAACTCTCAATAAATTAGGTATTGATGGGACGTATCTCAAAATAATAAGAGCTACCTGTGAAACTTCTTTGTGATGTGTGCATTCATCTCACAGAGTTGAACCTTTCTTTTGATTGGGCAGTTTGGAAACAGTCTTTTTGTAGAATCTGCAAAGTGATATGTTTCAGTGGTTTGAATCCAATGGTGAAAAAGGAAATGTCGAAAAATAAAATGTATACAGCAGCTTTCTGAAGAACTTCTTTGTGATGTATGCATTCATCTCACAGGGTTGAAACTTCCTTTGATTGATCAGTTTGGAAACAGTCTTCTCGTAGAACCTGCAAAGTGATATTTGTGAACGCTTTGAGGCTTATGGTGAAAAAGGAAATATCTTCACATAAAAACTAAACTCATGTTTTCTCGGAAACTTCTTTGTGATGGGGGTATGCATCTCAAAGACTTGAATCTTTCTTTTGATTGAGCACTTTGGAAACAGTCTTTTTGGAGAACCTGCAAAGGCATGTTTTTGAGTGGTTTGAGGCATGTGATGAAAAAGGAAATATCTTCATATAAAAACTAGACAGAAGCTTTCTGAGAAACCACTTTGCAATGCATGCATTCACCTCACAGAGTTGAATTTTCTTTCATTGAGCAGATTGGAAACACTCTATTTGTAGAATATGCAAAGCGATATTTGTGAGCTTTCTGAGGCCTATTGTGAAAAAGGAAATATCCACAAGTAAAATCTAGACAGAAGCCTTCTGAGAAACTTCGTTGTGATGTGTGCATTCATCACACAGGGTTGAACCTTTCTTTTGATTGAGCAGTTTGGAAACAGTCTTTTCATAGAATTTGCAAAGGAAAATTTGGGAACGCTTTGAGGCTTATGGTGAAAAAGAAGTATCTTCACATAAAAACTAGACAGAAACGTCTGAGAAACTTCTTTTTGATGTGTGCATTCATCTCACACAGCTGAACTTTCATTTCATTGAGCAGTTTGGAAATAGTCCTTTTGTAGAATCTGCAAATGGTTATTTATGAGCAGTTTGAGTCCTATGGTGAAAAAGGGAGTATCGACAAATAAAAACTAGACAGAAACTTTCTGAGAAACTTCTCTGTGATGTGTGCATTCATCTCACAGAGTAGAAGCTTTCTTTGATTGAGCAGTTTGGAAACAGTCTTTTTGTAGAATCTGCAAAGGGTTATATATAGGTGGTTTCAGGTCTATGGTGAAAACGGAAATATCTTCACATGAAAACTAGACAGAAGCTTTCTGAGAAAATTCTTTGAGATGTGCACATTCATCTCACAGATTTGAAGTGTTCTTTTCCTTGACCAGTTTGGATAGAGTCTTTTTGTAGAATCTGCTTTGCGATATTTGTGAACCCTTTGAAGCCTATGTTGAAAAATTAATATCTTCACACAAAAACGAGACAGAAGCTTTCTGAGAAACTTCGTTGTGATGTGTGCATTCATCCCAAAAGGTGAACCTGTCTTTGGATTGAGCAGTTTGGAAACAGTCCTTTGTAGAATGTACAAAGGGATATTTGGGATCCCTTTTTGGTCTATGGTGAAAAAGGAAATGTCTTCAGATAAAAACTAGACAGAAGCATTCTGAGAAACTTATTTTTGATGTGTGCATTCTTCTCACAGAGTTAAACCTTTCTTTAGATAGAGCAGGTTGGAAAATGTCTTTTTGTAGAATCTGCAAAGTGATAATTTGAATGCTTTGAGACTTATGGTGAAAAAGGAAATATCTTCACATAAAAACTGGACGGAAGCTTTCTGAGAAACTTCTTTGTGATGTGTGCATTCATCTCAAAAAGTTGAAGCTTTGTTTCAGTTGAGCAGTTTGGTAACAGTCTTTTTGTAAAATCTGTAAAGGGACATTTGTGAGCACTTTGAGGCCTATATTGAAAAAGGAAACATCTTCAAATAAAAACTAGACAGAAGCTTTCTGAGAAACTTCTTTGTGATGTGTGCATTCACCTCACAGAGTAGAAGCTTTCTTTTGACTGAGTAGTTTGGAAACAGTCTTTTTGTAGAATCTGCAAAGGGTTATTTATGAGCGGTTTGAGGTCTACAGTGAAAAAGGGAGTATCAACAAATAAAAACTAGACAGAAACTTTCTGAGAAACTTCTCTGTGATGTGTGCATTTATCTCACAGAGTGGAAGCTTTCTTTGATTGAGTAGTTTGGAAACAGTCTTTTTGTAGAATCTTCAAAGAGTTATTCATGAGCGGTTTGAGGCTTATGGTGAAAAAGGGAATATCAACAAATAAAAACTAGACAGAAATTTTCTGAGAAACTTCTCTGTGATGTGTGTATTCATCTCGCAGAGTGGAAGCTTTCTTTGATTGAGCAGTTTGGAAACAGTATTTTTGTAGAATCTGCAAAGGGATATATGTAGGCGGTTTGAGGTCTATGGTGAAAACGGAAATATCTTCACATAAAAACTAACTGCTCAATGGGAAGAAATTTTTACTTCTCTGTGATAAATGCACATATCAGAAAAGAGTTACTCAGAAAACTTCTTTCTACTTTTAATGTGAAGATATTTCCTTTTTCACCATAAGCCTCAATGCACTCGCAGATAGCCCTTTGCAGTTTCTACAAAAAGACTGTTTCGAAACTGCTCAATAAACAGAATGGTTCAACCCTGTGAGACGAATGTGCACATCACAAAGAAGTTTCTCAGAAAACTTCCTTCTCAGTTTTATGTGAAGATATTTTCTTTTTGAACATAGGCCTCAATGCACTCCCAAATATACCTTTGCAGAATCTACAAAAAGACTGTTTCCAAACTGCTCAATCAAAAGAAAGTTTTAACTCTGTTAGATGAATGCACATATCAGAAAGTAGTTCCTCAGCAAGCTTCTCACTAGTTTTTATGTGAAGATAGTTCTTTTTTCAACATGGGTCTCAAAGCACTCAAAAATATCCCTTTGCAGACTCTAGAATAACAGAGTTTACAAACTGTTCAATGAAAAGAAATGTTTACCTCTGTGAGATGAGTACACATATCTTAAAGCAGCTTCTCAGAATGCTTCTTTCTATTTTTTATGTGAAGATATTTCCTTTTCCACCATAGGCCTCAACTTGCTCCTAAATATCCCTTTGCAGATTGTACAAAAAGACTGTTTCCAGACTGCTCAATCAAAACAAATGTTAAACTCTATGAGATAAATGCACACATCACAAAAAGTTTCTCAGAAAACTTTTGTCTAGTTTTTATGTGAAGATATTTCCTTATTCACCATAGGCCTCAAAGCGCTACAAATATCCCTCTGCAGATTCTACAAAAAGACTATTTGCAAACTGCTCAATCCAAAGAATGTTTCAATTCTGTGTGATGAATGCACACATCCAAAGAATTTTCTCAGAAACTTTCTTTATGGTTTTTCTGTGAAGATATTTCCTTTTTCAACATAGGCCTCAAAGCCCTCACAAATATCCCTTTGCAGATTCTACAAAAAGACTGTTTCCAAACCGCTCAATAAAAAGAATTATTGAACACTGTCAGATGAATGCACACAGCTCGAAGAAGTTTCTCAGAAACGTTCAGTCTAGTTTTTATGTGAATATATTTCCTTTTTCATGATAGACCTCAAAGTACTCCAAATATCCGTTTGCAGAGTCTACAAAAAGTCTGTTTCCAAACGGCTCAATCAAAACAAAGGTTCAACTCTGTGTGATGAATGCACACATCACAAAGCAGTTTCTCAGAATGCTTCTGTCTAGTTTTTCACCATAGGCCTCAAAGTGCTCACAAATATCCCTTTACAGATTCTACAAAAATACTTCTTCCAAATTGCTCAATCAAAAGAAAGGTTCAACTGTGTGAGATGTATGCACACCACAAAGAGGTTTCTCAGAAAGCTTCTTTGTAGTTTTTATGTGAAGATATTTCCTTTTTCACCATAGGCCTCAAAGCATTCACAAATATCCCTTTGCAGATTCTACAAAAAGACTCTTTACACATTGCTCAATTAAAAGAAGTTTCAACACTGTAAGGCGAATGCTCACATCACTAGGATGTTTCTCAGAAAGCTTCTGTGTAGTTTTTATGTGAAGATATTTCCTTTTTCACCATACACCTCAAAGGGCTCACAAATATCCCTTTGCAGATCTTACAAGAAAAGAGTTTCCAATCTTCTCAATGAAAAGAAACAGACACATCTGGGAGATGAATGCACATATCACAAAGCAGTTTCTGAGAAATATTCTGTCTAGTTTTTATGTGAAGGCATCTCCTTTTCCACCACAGGATGCAAAGCGCTCAAAATTGTCCTTTTGCAGATTCTACAAAAAGATTGTTTCCACACTGCTCATCAAAAGAAAGGTTCAACTCTGTGAGATGATTGCACACGTCAAAAAGCAGTTTCTCAGAAAGCTTCTATTAAGTTTTTATGTGAATGTTTCCTTTTTCCCCATGAGCCTCAAGGTGCTCACAAGTATCCACTTGAAGAATATTTAAAAAGACTGTTTCCAAACTGCTCAATGAAAAGAAAGGTTGAACTGAGTGAGATGAATGCACACATCACAAAGAAGTTTCTCAGAAACCTTCTTTATAGTTTTTATGTGAAGATATTTCCTTTTTCAACACAGGCCTCAAATTGCTCAGCAATATCCCTTTGTAGATTCTGCAAAAAGACTGCTTCCCAACTGCTCAATCAAATAAATGGTTGAACTCTGTGAGATGGATTGAGATGGATGCACACATCTCAAAGAGGTTTCTCAGAAATCTTCTGTCCATTTTTTATGTGAAGATATTTCCTTTTTCACCATAACACTCCAAGTCATGACAAATATCCCTTGCAGATTCTACAAAAAATACTGTTTCCAGACTGCTCAATCAAAAGAATGGTTCCACTCTGTGAGATGATTGCACACATCACAAAGAAGCCGCTAAGAAAGCTTCTGTCTAGTTTGTATGTGAAGATATTTCCTTTTTCATCATAGGCCTCAAAGCACTCACAAATATCCCTTTGCAGATTCTACAAGAACAGAGTTTCCAGACTGATCATAGAAAATAAACGTTTACCTCTCTGAGATCAATGCACACACCACAAAGCTCTTTCTAAGAAACCTTCTTTATGCCTTTTATATAAATATATTTCCTTCTTCACCATTGGCCTCAAAGCTCTCATAAATGTCCCTTTGCAGATTGCACAAACAGATGGTTTCCATACTGATCAATCAAAAGTAAGTTTCAACTTTGTGAGATGAATGCCCACATCACAAAGAGGTTTCTCAGAAAACCTCTCTCTAATTTTTATGTGAAGATATTTCGTTTTTCACCATAGGCCTCAAAGCACTCACAAATATCCCTTTGCAGAATCTACAAGAACAGTTTCCAGACAGATCAGAGAAAAGAAACGTTTACTTCTTTGAGATGAATGCATACATCACAAAGCTGTTTCTGAGAAACCTTGTTTATACTTTTTATGTGAATACATTTCCTTTTTCACCATAGGCCTCAGAACATTCATAAATATCCCTTTGCCGATTCTACAAAAAGAGTGTTTCCAAACTGTTCAATCAGTAGAATGGTTGAACTCTACGAGATGAATGCACACATCACAAAGAAGTTTCTCGGAAAGCTTCTGTCTAGTTTTTATGTGAAGATATTTCCTATTTCATCATAGGCCTCATACCATTCAAAAATATGACTTTACAGAGTCTACAAAAATACTGTTTCCAAATTGCTTAATCCAAAGAAAGTTTCAAATCGGTGAGATGAATGCACACATCACAAGAAGGTTTCTCAGAAAGCTTCTCTCTAGTTTTCATGTGAAAATATTTCGTTTTCACCATATGTTTCAAAGCATCACAAATATCCCTTTGCAGATTCTACCAAAACACTGTTTACAAACTGCCCAATCAAAAGAATGTTTCAACTCTGTGAGACGAATTCTCGCATCTCCAAGATATTTCACAGAAAGCTTCTGTCTAGTTTTTATGTGAAGATAATTCCTTTTTCACCATAGGCCTCAAAGTGCTGACAAATATCCCTTTGCAGATTTTACAACAACAGAATTTCCAATCTGTTCAATGAAAAGAAATGGTTACCTCTGTGAGATGAAAGCACACATCACAAGTCAGTTTCTCAGAAATATTCTGTCTAGTTTTTATGTAAAAATAATTCCTTTTCCAACATAGGACACAAAACACTAACTAATAACCCTTTGGAAATTCTACCAAATACTACTTCCAAAATGCTCATCAAAAGAAAGGTTCACCTCTGTGGGATGAATGCACATATCAAAAAGATGATTCTCAGAAAACTTCTATGTTTTTTTTATGTGTAAGTGTTTCCTTTTTCACCATGGGCCTCAAAGTGCTCAAAAATATCCCTTTGCAGATCCTAAAAAAAGACTGTTTCCAAACCGCTGAGTCAAAGGAGTGGTTCAACTCTGTGAGATGAATGCACACATCATAAAGAAGTTTCTCACAAACCTTCTTTATAGTTTTTATGTGAAGATATTTCCTTTTAACCATAGACCTCAAAGTGCTCACAAATATCCCTTTGCAGATTCTACAAAAAGATGGTTTCCCAACTGCTCAATCAAAAGAATTGTTGAACTCTGTGAGATGAATACATACATCACAAAGCAGTTTCTCAGAAATCTTTAGTCTAGTTTTTACATGAAGATACTTTCTCTTTCACCATAGGCCTCAAAGTGCTCAGAAATTTCCCCTTACAGATTCCACAAAAAGACGTTTCCAAACTGCTTAATCAAAAGAAAGTTTCAATTCTGTGAGATGAATGCACACATCACCAAGCAGTTTCTCAGTAGGTGATACTTTCTCTTTCACCATAGTCCTCAAAGTGACCAGAAATATCCCTTTACAGATTCCACAAAAGACGTTTCTAAACTGCTTAATCAAAAGAAAGTTACAATTCTGTGAGATGAATGCACACATCACCAAGAAGTTTCTCAGTAGGCCTCTGTCTAGTTTTTATGTGAAGACAATATCTTTTTCACCACAGGGCTCTAGGCACTCAAAAATGTCCCTTAGCAGATCCTACAAGAACAGAGTTTCACAATTGAACAAGAAAAGAATTGTTTACCTCTGTGAAATGAATGCAGACATCAAAAAACAGTTTCCCAGAAACCTTCTTTATATTTTTCTGTGAAGATACTTCTTTTCCTGCATAGGCCTCAAAGTGCTCACAAATATCCGTTTGCAGATTCTTCAAAAAGACTGTTTCCAAACGGCTGAATTAAAAGAGACGTTCAAATCTGGGAGATGAATGCACATATCACAAAGAAGAATCTCAGAAACGTTCTTTATGCGTTGAATGTGAAGATATTTCCTTTGTCACAATAGGCCTCAAAGTGCTCAAAAATACCCTCTTTGAGATTGTACAAGAACGGAGTTTCCAGACTGATTGCAGAAAAGAAACACTTACCTCTGTGAGATGAATGCACACATCACAAGGTTGTTTTTAGAAAACCTGCTTTATAGTTCTTATGTGAAAATAAGACCTTTTCCACCATAGGATTGACAGCGCTCCAAATATCCAATGGCAGACTCTACAAAAAGAGTGTTTCCAAGCTGCTCAACAAAAACAAAATCCAACTCTGTGAGATGAATGCCCACAACACAAAGAAGTTTCTCAGAATGCTTCTGTCTAGTTTTTATATGAAGATATTTCCTTTTCCACCATAGGCCTCAAAGCGCTCCAAGTATCCCCTGGCACATTCTGCAAAAAGTATGTTTCAAAACTGCAATCAAAAGAAAGGTACAACACCATGAGATGAATGCACACATAATGAAGTAGTTTCTAGGAATGCTTCTGTCTGGTTTTTATGTTAAGATATTTCCTTTTTCACCATAGGACTCAAAGCTCTTCAAATATCCATTTGCAGATATTACAAAAAGACTGTTTCCAAACTCCTTAATGAAAAGAAAGGTTCAATTCTGTGAGATGAAAGCAAATCACAAAGTAGTTTCTCATAAAGTTTCTGTCTAGTTTTTATGTGAAATTATTTCCTATTGCCCCATGGGCCTCAGTTGGCTCAAAAATACCCCTCTGCACATTCTACAAAATGACTGCTTCCAAACTACTGAATCAATAGAAACGTTCAACTCTGTTAGATGAATGCCCACAAAACAAAGAAGTTTCTCAGAATGATTCTATCTAGTTTTTATGTGAAGATATTTCCTTTTCCACAATAGGCCTTTAAGCACTCCAAACATCCACTTGCGGATTCTACAAACAGAGTGTTTCAAAACTGCTCAATCAAAAGAAATGTTCAACTCTGTGAGATGAATGCAGACATCACAAAGAAGTTTCTCAGAATGCTTCTATCTAGTTTTTATGGGAAGATATTTCCTTTTTCACCATAGGCCTCAAAGTGCTGTTAATATCCATTTACAGATATCACAAAAAGACTGCTTCCAAACTGTCCAATCAAAAGAAAGTTTCAACTCTGTGAGATGAAAGCAAACATCACAAAGAAGTTTCTCAGAAAGTTTCTGTCTAGTTTTTATGTGAAGATATTTCCTATCGCCCCATAAGCCTCAATCGGCTTACAAATATCCTTCTGCAGATTATGAAAAACGACTGCTTCCTGACTGCTCAATCACAGGAAAGGTTCAACCCTGTGAAATGAATGCATCCATCACAAAGAAGTTTCTCAGAATGCTTCTGTCTAGTTTTTATGTGAAGATATTTCCTTTTCCACCATATTCCGCATGCGCTCCAAATATACACTTGCAGATTCTGCTAAAAGAGTCTTTCAAAACTGCTCAATCAAGAGAAAGGTTTAAATATGTGAGATGAATGCGTACATCACAAAAAGTTTCTACGAATGCTTCTGTCTGATTTTTATGTGAAGATATTTGCTTTTTCACCATAGGCCCCAATACGCCCCAAATATCCATTTGCAGATACTACAAAAAGTCTGTTTCCAAACTACTCAATCAAAAGAAAGTTTCAACTCTGGGAGATGAAACAAACATCACAAAGAAGTTTCTCAGAAAGTTTCTGTCTAGTTTTAATGTGAAGATATTTCATATTGCCCCATAGGCCTCAATCGACTCACAAGTATCCTTTTGCAGATTACACAAAACGACGGTTTCCAAACTGCTCAATCACAGGAAAGGTTCAACCCTGTGAAATGAATGCACCCATCACAAAGAAGTTTCTCAGAATACTTCTTTCTAGTTTTTATGTGAAGAAGATTCCTTTTCCACCATAGTCCACATGCGCTCCAAATATACACTTGCAGATACTGCTATAAGACGGTTTCAAAACTGTTCAATCAAAAGAAAAGTTCAAATCTGTGAGATGAATGCACACGTCACAAAGAAGTTTCTACGAATGCTTCTGTCTGATTTTTATGTGAAGATATTTCTTTTTTCACCATAGGCCTCAATATGCTCCAAATATCCATTTGCAGATACTACAAAAAGACTGTTTCCAAACTACTCAATCAAAAGAATGTTCAACTCAGTGAGATGAATGCACACATCACAAAGAAGTTTCTCAGAAAGATTCTGTCTAGTTTTTATGTGAAGATATTTCCTATTTCCACAGAGGACTCAATGGGCTCACAAATATTCCTTTGCATATTCTACAAAACGACTGTTCAAAGCTGCTCAATCAAAAGAATGGTTCAACATTGTGAGATGAATGCACACATTCCAAGGAAGTTTCTCAGAATTCTTCTGTCTAGTTTTTATGTGAACATATTTCCCTTTCCACTATAGGATGCAAAGCGCTCCAAATATCCACTTGCAGATCCTACAAAAAGAGTGTTTCCACACTGCTCAATCAAAAGAAAAGTTCAACTCTGTGAGATGAATGCACACAGTGCAAAGAAGTTTCTCAGAAAGCTTCTGCCTAGTTTTTATGGGAAGATATTTCATTTTTCAACATAGGCCAAAGGCACTCCAAATATCCATTTGCAGATTCTACAAAAAGACTGTTTCCAAACTGCTCAATCAAGAGAAAGTTTCAACACAGTGAGATGAAGTCACACATGACAAATAAGTTTCTCAGAGAGTATCTGTCTAGCTTTTATGTGAAGGTATTTTCTATTTCCCCAGAAGCCTCAATGGGCTTACAAACATCCCTTTGCAGATTCTACAAAACGACAGTTTCCAAACTAATCAATCAAAAGAATGGTTCAACTCTGTGAGATGAATGCACACATCACAAAGAAGTTTCTCAAAATGCTGCTGTCTAGTTTTTATGGGAAGATGTCCTTTTCCACCATAGGCCTCAAAGTGCTCCAAATATCAACTTGCAGATTCTACAAAAATACTGTTTCCAAACTGCTCAATAAAAAGAAAAGTTCAACTCTGTGAGATGAATGCACACATCACAAAAAGTTTCTCAGAATACTTCTGTCTAGTTTTTATCGGAAGATATGTCCTTTTCCACCAATGACCCCAAAGCGCTCCAAATATCAACTTGCAGATTCTACAAAAATACTGTTTCCAAACTGCTTAATAAAAAGAAAAGTTCAACTCTGTGAGATGAATGCACACATCACAAAAAGTTTCTCAGAATACTTCTGTCTAGTTTTTATAGGAAGATATGTCCTTTTCCACAAATGACCTCAAAGCGCTCCAAATATACACTTGCAGATTGTACAAAAAGAGTGTTTCAAAACTGCTCAATCAAAATAAAAGTTCAACTCTGTGAGATGAATGCACACATCACAAAGAAGTTTCTCAGAATGCTTCAGTCTACTTTTAATGTGAAGATATTTCCTTTTCCAACATATGCCTCAAAGCACTCCAATTACCATTTGCAGATACTACAAAAAGCCTGTTTCCAAACTGCTCAATAAAAAGAAAGGTTCAACTCTGTAAGATGAATGCACACATCACAAAGAAGTTTCTCAGAATGCTTCTGCCTAGTTTTTATGGGAAGATATTTCCTTTTTCACCAAAGGCCTCAATGAGCTGCTAATATCCAATTGCAGATACTACAAAAAGACTGTTTCCAAACTGCTCAATTAAAAGAAAGTTTCAACTCTGTGAGATGAAAGCACACATCCCAAAGAAGTTTCTCAGAAAGTGTCTGTCTAGTTTTTATGCGAAGATATTTCCTATCGCCCCATAAGTCTCAATGGGCTCACAAATATCCCTCTGCAGATTCTACAAAACGATGATTTTCAAACTGCTCAATCAAAGGAAAGGTTCAACTTTGTGAAATGAATGCACCCATGAGAAAGAAGTTTCTCAGAATGCTTGTGTCTAGTTTTTATGTGAAGATGTTTCCTTTTCCACCAGAGGCCTCAAAGTGCTTCAAATATACACTTGCAGATCTTTCAAAAAGAGTGTTTCAAAACTGCTCAATCAAAAGAAAGGTTGAAGTCTGTGAGATGAATGTACACATCACAAAGAAGTTTATAAGAATGCTTCCATCTGATTTTTATGTGAAGATATTTCCTTTTTCACCATAGGCCTCATTACTCTCCAAATATCCATTTATAGATAATACAAATGACTGTTTCCAAACTGCTCAATCAAAAGAAAGTTCAACTGTGTGTGATAAATGCACACATCACAAGGAAGTTGCTAAGATAGTTTTTGTCTAGTTTTTAGATGAAGATATTTCTTATTTCCCAAGAGGCCTCAATGGGCTCTCAAATATTCTCTTTCAGATTCTACTAAATGACTGTATCGAAGCTGCTCAATCAAAAGAAAGGTTCAACAGTGTGAGAAGAAAGCACACATTCCTAGGAAGTTTCTCAGAATTCTTATTTCTAGTTTTTTATGTGAAGATATTTCCTTTTCCACTATAGGTCTCAAAGAGTTCCAAATATCCACTTGCAGATACTACAAAGAGAGTGTTTCAAAACTGCTCAATCAAAAGAAAGGTTCAACTTTGTGAGATGAATGCAGACATCACAAAGAAGTTTCTCAGAATCCTTCTGCCTTGTATTTATGGGAAGATATTTCCTTTTTCACCATAGGTCTCAAAGCACTGGTAATATCCATTTGCAGATACTACAAAAAGACTGTTCCCAAACTGCTCAATCAAAAGAAAGTTTCAACTCTGTGAGATGAAAGCAAATATCACAAAGAAGTTTCTCATAAATTTTCTGTCTGGTTTTTATGTGAACATATTTCCTATCACCCCATAGGCCTCAATCGGCTCACAAATATCCTTCTGCAGATTATACAAAACGACTGTTTCCAAACCATTCAATCACAGGAAGGGTTCAACTCTGTGAAATGAATGCACCCATCACAGAAAAATTTCTCAGAATGCTTCTGTCTCGTTTTTATGTGAAGAAGATTCCTTTTCCACCATATTCCTCATGTGCTTCAAACATACATTGCAGATTCTGCTAAAAGAGTGTTTCAAAACTGCTCAATCAAAAGAAAAGTTCTAATCTGTGAGATGAATGCACACATCACAAAGAAGTTTCTATGAATGCTTCTGTCTGATTTATATTGAAGATATTTCCTTTTTCACCGTAGGCCTCAGAGCGCTTAAAATATCCATTTGCAGATACTAGAAAAAGACTGTTTCCAAACTGCTCAATCAAAATAAAGTTCAACTCAGTGAGATGAATGCACATATCACAAAGAAGTTTCTGAGAAAGATTCTGTCTAGTTTTTATTTGAAGATATTTCCTATTTCCCCAGAGGCATCAATGGGCTCACAAATATTCCTTTGCATATTCTACAAAATGACTGTTTAGAAGCTGCTCAATCAAGAAAAAAGTTCAACACTGTGAGATGAATGCACACATTCAAAGGAAGTTTCTCAGAATTCTTCTGTCCAGTTTTTATGTGAAGATATTTCCTTTTTCACTATAGGCCACAAAGCACTCAAAATATCCACTTGCAGACTCTACAAAAAGAGTGTTTCCACACTGCTCAATCAAAAGAAAAGTTCAACTGTGTGAGATGAATGCACACATCACAAAGAAATTTCTCCAAAAGCTTCTGCCTAGTTTTTATGGAAAGATACTTCATTTTTCAACATAGGCCAAAAGTGCTCCAAATATTCATTTGCAGATTCTACAAAAAGACTGTTCCCAAACTGCTCAATCAAGAGAAAGTTTCAACCCGGTGAGTTGAAGTAACACATGACAAAATAGTTTCTCAGAAAGTATCTGTCTAGTTGTTATGTGAAGATATTTCCTATCTCCCCAGAAGCCTCAATGGGCTCACAAATATCCCTTTGCAGATTCTACAAAACGACAGTTTCAAAACTGCTGAATCAAAAGAAAGGTTCAACTCTGTGAGATGAATGCACAGATCACAAATAAGTTTCTCAGAATGCTGCTGTCTAGTTTTTATGGGAAGATGTGTCTTTTTCCACCATAGGCCTGAAAGTGCCCCAAATATCCACTTATAGATTGTACAAAAACACTGTTTCCAAACTGCTCAATCAAAAGAAAAGTTCAAATCTGTGAGATGAAAGCACACATCTGAAAGAAGTTTCTCAGAAAGTTTCTGTCTAATTTTTATGTGAAGATATTTCCTATCACCCCATACGTCTCAATGGGCTCAAAAATATCTCTCTGCAGATTCTACAAAACGACTGTTTCCAAACTGTTCAATACAAGGAAAGGTTCAACTCCGTGAAATGAATACACCCACCAGGCAGAAGTTTCTCAGAATGCTTCTGTCTAGTTTTTATGTGACAATGTTTCCTTTTCTACCATAGGCCTCAAAGCTCTACAAATATCCACTTGAAGATACTGCAAAAAGTGTGTTTCAAAACTGCTCAATTAAAAGAATGGTTCAACTTCGTGAGATGAATGCACACATCAGAAAGAAATTTCTCAGAATGCTTCTGTCTAGTTTTTATGTGAAGATATTTCCTTTTCCACCATAGGCCTCAAAGCGCTCCAAATATCCACTTGCACACTCTACGAAAGAGTTTTTCAAAACTTCTCAATCAAAAGAAAGTTTCAGCTCTGTGACATGAATGCACACATCACAAAGAAGTTTCCTAGAATGCTTCTGCCTAGTTTTTAGGGGAAGATATTTCCTTTTTCACCATAGGCCTCAAAGTGCTCTAAATATCCATTTGCAGGTGAGAAAAAGACGGTGTCCAAACTTCTCAATCAAAAGAAAATTTCAGCTCTGTGAGATGAATGCACATATCACAAAGAACTTTCTCAGAATGCTTCTTGCTTGTTTTCATGTGAAGATATTTCCTTTTCCAACACAGACATCTAAGCACTCCAAGTATCCAGTTGAAGATTCCACAAAAAGAGTGTTTCAAAACTGCTCAATCATAAGATAGGTTTAACTTGGTGAGATGAATGCACACATCGCAAAGAAGTTTTTCAGAATGCTTCTGTCTAGTTTTGCTGTGAAGATATTTCCTTTTCCACCAAAGGCCTCAAAGCACTCCAAGTATCCACTTACAGATTCTACAAAAAGAGTGTTTAAATACTTCTCAAAAAAGAAAGGTTCAGCTCAGTGAGATGAATGCATACATCACAAAGAACATTCTCAGAATGCTTCTGTCTAGCTTTTATGTGAAGATATTTCCTTTTCCATCATAGGCATCAAAGTGCTCCAAATATCCACTTGCAGATTCTACAAAAAGAGTGTGTTAAAACTGCTCAATCAAAAGAAAGTTTCAACACAGGGAGTTGAATGCACACATCACAAAGAAGTTACTCAGAATGCTTGTGTCTGATTTTTATGTGAAGATATTACCTTTTCCACCAAAGGCCTCAAAGTGCTCCAAATATCTCCTTGCAGATTCTACAAAAAGAGTGATTAAATACTTCTCAAAAAAGAAAGGTTCAACTCTGTGAGATGAATGCAGAAATCGAAGAGAATTCTCTCAGAATGCTTCTTTCTGGGTTTTATGTGAAGATATTTCCTTTTCCTCTATAGGCCTCAAAACGCTACAAATATCCAGTTTCTGATACTACAAAAAGAGTTTGTTAAAACTACTCAATCAAAAGTTCAACACAGGGAGTTGAATGCGCACATCACAAATAAGTTTCTCTGAATGCTTGTGTCTGATTTTTATGTGAAGATATTTCCTTTTCCACCATAGGCCTCAACGTTTTCTAATTATCCAGTTGCAGATTCTGAAAAAAGAGTGTTTCAAAACTGCTCAATCAAAAGAAAGTTTCAACTCTGTGAAATGAATGCACACATGACAAAGAAGTTCTTCAGAATGCTTCTGTCAAGTTTTTATGTGAATATATTTCCTTTATATTTATTTATTTATTTATTTATTTTATTATTATTATACTTTAAGTTTTAGGGTACATGTGCACAATGTGCAGGTTAGTTACATATGTATACATGTACCACGCTGGTGTGCTGCACCCATTAACTCGTCATTTAGCATTAGGTATATCTCCTAATGCTATCCCTGCCCTCTCACCCCACCCCACAACAGTCCCCAGAGTATGACATTCCCCTTCCTGTGTCCATGTGTTCTCATTGTTCAATTCCCACTTATGAGTGAGAATATGCAGTGTTTGGTCTTTTGTTCTTGCGATAGTTTACTGAGAATGATGATTTCCAATTTCATCCATGTCCCTACAAAGAACATGAACTCGTCATTTTTTATGGCTGCATAGTATTCCATGGTGTATACGTGCCATATTTTCTTAATCAACTCTATCATTGTTGGACATTTGGGTTGGTTCCAACTCTTTGCTATAGTGACTAGTGCCGCAATAAGCATACGTGCGCATGTGTCTTTATAGCAGCATGATTTATAGTCCTTTGGGTATATACCCAGCAATGGGATGGCTGGGTCAAATGGTATTTCTAGTTCTAGATCCCTGAGGAATCGCCACACTGACTTCTACAATGGTTGTACTAGTTTACAGTGCCACCCACTGTGTAAAAGTGTTCCTATTTCTCCACATCCTCTCCAGCACCTGTTGTTTCCTGACTTTTTAATGATTGCCATTCTAATTGGTGTGTGATGGTATCTCATTGTGGTTTTGATTTGTATTTCTCTGATGGCCAGTGATGGTGGGCATTTTTTCATGTGTTTTTTGGCTGCATAAACATATTCTTTTGAGAAGTGTATGTTCATGTCCTTCGCCCACTTTCTGAAGGGGTTGTTTGTTTGTTTGTTTGTTTTCCTTTTTAAACGTATGCCTCAAAGCACTCCAAATATCCATTTGCAGTTACTACAGAAAGACTGTTTTCAAACTGCTCAATCAAAAGAAAGGTTCAACTCTGTGAAATGAATGCACACATCAGAAGGGAGTTTCTCAGAATGCTTCTGTCTAGTTCTTATCTGAAGATATTCCCTATTTCCCCAGAGGCCTCAGTAGGCTGAAAAATATCCCTCTACAGATTCTACAAAACTACTGTTTCCAAACTGCTCAATCAATACAAAGGTTAAAGTCTGCGAAATTAATGGACACAAGACAAAGAAGTTTCTCAGAACGCTTCTGTATATTTTTAATGTGAAGATATTTCCTTTTTCACCATAGGTCCCAAAGCCCTCCAAATATCCACTTGCAGATTCTATAAAAAGACTGATTCCAAACTGCCCAATCAAAAGAAAGTTTCAACTCTGTGAGATGAAAGCAGATATCACAAATAATTTTCTCAGAAATTTTCTGTTTAGTTTTTATGTGAAGATATTTCCTATTACCCCATAAGCCTCAATGGGAACAAAAATACCCCTTCATAGATTCTACAAAACGATGGGCTCCAAACTGCTCAATCAAAAGAAAGTTAAACCCTGTGAGATGAATGCACATATCACAAAGAAGTTTCTCAGAATGCTTCTGTGAAGTTTCCATGTGAAGATATTACCTTTTCCAATATAGGAAACAAAACGCTCCAAATATCGACTTGCAGATTGTACAAAAAGAGTTTTTCAAAACTGCTCAATCAAAAGAAAACTTCATCTCTGTGAGATGAGTGCGCACATCACAAAGAAGTTTCTCAGAATGCTTCTGTCTAGTTTTTATGTGAAGATATGTCCTTTTCCACCATAGGTCTCAAAGCAAACAAAATATCTGTTTGCAGATTCCAAAAAAGACTGTTTCCAAACTGCTCAATCAAAAGAAAAGTTCAACTCTGTGAGATGAATACACACATCGCAAAGAAGTTTCTCAGAAAGTGTCTCTCTAGTTTTTATATGAAGATATTTCCTAACACCCCATAGGCATCAATGGGTTCACAAATATCCCTCTGTAGATTCTACAAAATGACAGTTGGCAAACTGCTCAATCAAAGGAATGGTTCAACTCTGTGAAATGAATGCACATAACACAAAGAAGTTTCTCAGAATGCTTCTCTCCTGTTTTAATGTGAAGATATTTCCTATTCCACCATAGGCCTCAAAGTGCTCCAAATATCCACTTGCAGATTCTACACAAAGAGTGTTTCAAAACTGCTCAATCAAAAGAAAGTTTCAAATCTGTGAGATTAATGCACACATCACAAAGCAGTTTCTAGGAATCCTTCTGTCTGGTTTTTATGTGAGGATACTTCCTTTTTCACCACAGGCCTCAAAGAGCTCCAAAAATCCATTTGCAGATACTACAAAAAGATTGTTTCCAAACTGCTCAATAAAGAGAAAGGTTCAAATTTGAGAGATGAAACCACACACCACAAAGGTGTTTCTCAGAATTCTTCTTTGTGGTTTTTCTGTGAAGATATTTTCTTTTCCACCATAGGCCTCAAAGCGCAACAAATATCCACTTGCTGATTCTATAAAAAGTGTTTCAACACTGCTCAATCAAAACAAGGGTTCAACTCTGTGAGATGAATGCACACATCACAAAGAAGTTTCTGAGAATGCTTCTGTCTAGTTTTTATGGGAAGATATTTCCTTTTCCACCATAGGCCTCAAAGCTCTCCAAATATCCATTTGCAGATACTACAAAAAGACTGTTCCCAAACTGCTCAATCAAGAGAAAGGTTCAACTCCATGAGTTGAATGCATACATCACAAAGAAGTTTCTCAGAAAGCTTCTGACTAGTTTTTATGTGAAGATGTTTTCTTTTCCACCATAGGCCCCAAAGTGCTAAAAATATCCACTTGAAGATTCTACAAAAAGAGGGTTTCAAAACTGCTCAAACAAAAGAAAGGTTCAACTCTGTGACATGAATGCACACATCACAAAGAAGTTTCTCAGAATGCTTCTGTCTAGTTTTATGTGGAGATATTTCCTTTTCTACTATAGGCCGCAAAGCACTCCAAATATCAACTTGCAGATTCTGCAGAAAGAGTTTTTCAAAGCTGCTCAATCAAAAGAAAAGTTCAACTCTTTGAGATGAATACCCGCACCATGAAAAAGTTCCTCAGAATGCTTCTGTCTATTTTTTATGTGAAGATATATCCTTTTCTACCAAAGACCGCAAAGTGCTCCAAATATCCCCTTGCAGTTTCTACTAAAAGAGTGTTTCCAAACTGCTCAATCAAAAGAAAGTTTCAACTCTGTGAGATGAATGCACACATCACTAACAAGTTTCTCAGTAATTTTCTGTCTAGTTTTTATTTGAAGATATTTCCTTTCCTACTATAGGCCTGAAAGTGCTCCAAATATCCATTTGCAGATACTGCAAAAAGACTGCTTCCAAACTGCTCAATCAAAGGAAAGGTCCAACTCTATGAGTTGAATGCACGCATCTCAAAGAGATTTCTCAGAATGGTTCTCTCTAGTTTTTATGTGAAGATATTTGCTTTTGCACCAGTGGCCTCAAACTCTCCAAATATCCACTTGCAGATTGTACAATAAGAGTGTTTCAAAACTGCTCAATCCAAAGAAAGGTTTAACTCTGTGAGATGAATGCACACATCACAAACCACCTTCTCAGAATGCTTCTGTCTAGTTTTTATGTGAAGATATTTCGTTTTTCACCATAGGCCGCAAAGCGCTCCAAATATCCCCTTCAGATTCCACAGAAAGAATGTTTCAAAACTGTTCAATCAAAAGAAAGGTTCAACTCTGGTGATGAATGCAAGCATCACAGAGCAGTTTCTCATAATGTTTCTGTCTAGTTTTCATGTGTATATATTTCCTTTTCCACCACAGGCCCCAAAGCACTCCAAATATCCGTTTGCAGGTACTACTAAAAGACTGTTTCCAAACTGCTCAATCAAAAGAAAAGTTTAAATCTGTGAGTTGAATGAGCACATCACAAATAAGTTTCTCAGAATGCTTCTGTCTAGTTTTTATGTGAAGATATTTCCTTTTCCACCACAGGCCACAAAGCACTCCAAATATCCACTTGAAGATTCTACAAACAGAGTTCTTCAAAAATACTCAATCAAAAGAAAGGTTCAACTCTTTGAGATGGATGCACATATCACAAAGAAGCTTCTCAGAATGCTTCTGTCTACTTTTTATGTGAAGATATTTCCTTTTCCACCATAGGCCTCAAGTCTCTCCAAATATCTACTTTCAGAATCTCCAAAAAGAGTGTTTTAAAACTGCTGTATCAAAGAAAGTTTCACGTCTGTGATATGACTACACACAACACAGAGAAGTTTCTCAGAGTGCTTCTGTGTATTTTTTATGTGAAGATATTTCCTTTTCCACTATCGGCCACAGAGCGCTCCAAATATCCACTTGCAGAACCTACAAAAAGAGTGTTTCAAACCTGCTCAATCAAAAGAAAGATTTAACTCTATGAGATGAATGGACACATCACAAAGAAGTTTCTCAGTATGCTTTTGTCTAGTTTTTATGTGAAGATGTTTCCTTTTCCAATCCATGATGTAAAATGATCCAAATATCCACTGGTAGATATTACAAAAAGACTGCTTTCAAACTGCTCTATCAAAAGAAAGGTTCAAATCTGTGGGTTGAATGCACACATCACAAAGAATTTTCTCAGAATGCTTCTGTCTAGTTTTTATGTGAAGATATTTCCTTTTCCACCATAGGACTCAAAGTGCTCAAAATGTCCATTTGCAGATACTACAGAAAGATGCTTTCCAAGCAGCTCAATCAGAGGAAATGTTCAGCTCTTTGAATTAAATGCACATCACAAAATAGTTTCCCTGAATGCTTCTGTCTTGTATATATGTGAAGATATTTCCTTTTCCAATATAGTCCACAAAGCGCTACAAATATCAACTTGCAGATTCTGCAAAAACAGTGTTTCCAAACTGTTCAATCAAAAGAAACTTTCAACTCTGTGAGTTGAATGCACACATCACAAAGAATTTTCTCAGAATGCTTCTTTCTAGTTTTCATATGACGATATTTCCTTT
The DNA here is from genome assembly GCF_000001405.40 of Homo sapiens. Lineage (NCBI taxonomy): Eukaryota > Metazoa > Chordata > Mammalia > Primates > Hominidae > Homo > Homo sapiens. The sequence continues at coordinate 12,412,037 of NC_000022.11, read as the reverse complement.
TCCACCACATGACTCAAATCGCTCCAAAAATACACAAGCAGATTCCATAAACAGAGTATTTCAAAACTGCTGAATCAAAAGAAAGTTTCAGCTCTGTGAGATGAATGCACACATCACAAAGAAGATTCTCAGAATGCTTCTGTCTAGTTTTCATGTGAAGATAATTCCTTTTCCACATTAGGCCTCAAATCTCTTCAAATATCCCTTGCAGATTCTACAAAAATAGTGTTTCAAAACTGCTCAATCGAAAGAAAGGTTGAAGTCTGTGAGATGAATGCACATCTCATAAACAAGTTTCTCAAAGTGCTTCTGTCTAGTTTTTATTTGAAGATATATCCTTTTCCACAATAGGCCACAAAGCACTCCAAATATCCACTTGCAGATTCTTCAAAAAGAGTGTTTCAAAACTGCTCAATCAAAACAAAGGTTCAACTGTGTTAGTTGAATGCACACATCACAAAGAAGCTTCTCAGAATGCTCTGTCTAGTTTTTATGTGAAGATATTTCCTTTTCCACCGTAGGCCCCAAAGCATTCCAAATATCCACTGGTAGATTCTACAAATGTGCGTTTCAAAACTGCTTAATCAAAAGAAAGGTTCAAACCTGTGAGATGAATACACACATCACAAAGCAGTTTCTCAGAATGCTTCTGTCTAGTTTTGATGCGAAGATATTTCCTTTAACACCATAGAACTGGAAGCGCTGCAAATATCCACTTGCAGATTCTACAAAAAGAGTGTTTCAAAACTGCTGAATCAAAAGAAAAGTTCAACTCTGTGAGAAGAATGCACACATCACAAAGAAGTTTCGCAGAATATTTCTGTCTAGTTTTTATGTGAAGATATTTCCTTTTCCCCTCGAGGCTAGAAAGCACTTCAAATATCCAATTGCAGATTCTACAAAAGAGTGTTTCAAAACTGCTCAATCAAAGGAAAGGTCCAATTCGGTGAGCTGAATGTGCACATCAGAAGGAAGTTTCTCAGAATACCTCTGTGCAGTTTTTATGTGAAGATATTTACTTTTCCACCATAAGCCCCAAGGCTCTCCAAATATCCACTTGCAGATTCAACAAAAAGTGTGCTTCAAAACTGCTCAATCAAAAGAAAGGTTCAACTCTGTGAGAGGAATGCTCACATCACAAACAGGTTTCTCAGAATGCTTCTGTCTTGTTTCTTTGTGAAAATACTTCCTTTTCCACTAGAGGAAGCAAAGCGCTCCAAATATCCACTTGCAGATTTTACAAAAGGGTGTTTCTAAAGTGCTAAATCAAAAGAAAGTTTCAAGTCTGTGAGATGAATGCACATATCCCAAAGAAGTTTCTCAGAATGCTTCTGTCTAGTTTTCATTTGAAGATATAAAATTTTCCACTATAGGCCATAAAGCGCTTCAAATATCCACTTGCATATTCTTCAAAAAGAGTGTTTCAAAACTGCTGAATCAAAATAAAGTTTCAACTCTGTGAGGTGATTGCACACATCATAAAGAAGTTTCTCAGAATGCTTCTGTGTAGCTTTTATGTGAAGGTATTTCCTTTTCCACCATAGGCCTTAAAGCGTTCCATATATCCACCTGCAGATTCTACAAAAAGAGTGTTTCAAAACTATTTAATCAAAAGAAAGGTTCAACCCAGTGAGGTGAATGTACTCGTCATGGAGAAGATTCCAAGAATGCTTCTGTCTAGTTTATATGTGAACATATTTCCTTTTCCACTATAGGAGGCAAAGCGTTCCAAATATCCAATTGCGGATTCCACAAAAAGTGTTTCAAAACTGCTCAATGAAAAGAAATGTTGAATTCTGTGAGATAAACGCACACATCATAAAGGAGTGTCTAAGAATGCTTCTGTCTGGTTTTTATGTGAAGATATTTCCTTTTCCACTATAGGCCTTAAAGCGCTCCAAATATACATTTGCAGATGCTACAAAAAGAATGTTTCCAAACTCCTCAAAGATATGTTCAACTTTTTGAGTTGAATGCACACATCACATAGTAGTTTCTCAGATTGCTTCCGTCCAGATTTTATTTGAAGATATTTCCTTTACCAACATAGGCCTCAGAACTCTCCAAATATCGAATTGCAGATTCTACAAAAACAGTGTTTGAATACTGCTCAAACAAAAGAAAGGTTCAACCCTGTGAGATGAATGCACACTTGCAAAGATGTTTCTCAGAATGCTTCTGTGTTGTTTTAATTTGAAGATATTTCCTTTACCATCATAGGCCTCAAAGCACTCCAAATATCCACTTACAGATTCTACAAAAAGAGTGTTTCAAACCTGCTCAATCAAAAGAAAGGTTCAACTCTTAGTGATGAATGCACACATCACAAAGTAGTTTTTCAGAATGCCTCTGTCTAGTTTTTATGTGAATATGCATCCTTTTCCACTATAGGCCACAAAGTGCTCCAAACACCCCCTTGCAGATTCTACAAAAAGAGTGTTAGCAAAGACTTGGAACCAACCCAAATGTCCAACAATGATAGACTGGTTTAATAAAATGTGGCACATATACACCATGGAATACTATGCAGCCATAAAAAATGATGAGTTCATGTCCTTCGTAGGGACATGGATGAAATTGGAAATCAACATTCTCAGTAAACTATCACAAGAACAAAAAAACAAACACTTCATATTCTCACTCATAAGTGGGAATTGAACAATGAGAACATATGGACACAGGAAGGGGAACATCACACTCTGGGGACTGTTGTGGGGTGGGGAGAGGGGGGACGGAGAGCATTGGGAGATATATCTAATGCTAGATGACGGGTTAGTGGGTGCAGCACACCAGCACGCCACATGTATACATATGTAACTAACGCGCACATTGTGCACATGTACCCTAAAACTTAAAGAATAATAATAAGAAAAAAAAGAGTGTTTCAAATCTCCTCAAAAAAAAAGTTTCAACTCTGTGAGTTGAATGCACACATCACAAAGAAGTTTCTCAGAATACTTCTGTCTAGATTTTGTCCAAAGCTATTTCCTTTTCCACTATACTTCTCAAAGTCCTCCGAATATCCACTTGCAGATTCTACAAAAGAAGTGTTTCAAAACTGCACAATCAAAAGAAAGGTTCAACTCTGTGAGTTGTATGCATACATCAGAAAGAAGTTTCTCAGAATGCTTTTGTGTAGTTTTTATGTGAAGATATTTCCTTTTCCACCATAGGCCCCAAGGCTCTCCAAATATCCACTTGCAGATTCTACAAAAAGCGGGATTCAAAACTGCTCAATCAAAAGAAAGGTTCAACTCTGTGAGTTGAAGGCACACACAACAAAGCCGTTTCTCAGAATGCTTCTCCGTAGTTTTTATATGAAGATATTTCCGTTTCCACCATTCTCTCCAAAGCACTCCAAATATCTACTTGCAGATTCTATAAAAAGAGTGTTTCAAAACTGCTCAATGAAAAGAAAGTTTCAACTGTGTGAGATGAATGGACACATCATAAAGACGTTTCTCAGAATGCTTCTGTCTAGTGTTTATGTGAAGATATTTCCTTTTCCACCACGTGCCTCAAAGCACTCTAAATATGCACTTGCAGATTCAACGAAAAGAGCGTTTCAAAACTGCTCAATCAAAAGAAAGGTTCAACTACTGTGAGATGAATGCACACATCACCAAGAAGTTTCTCAGAATGCTTCTGTCTAGTTTTTATGAGAAGATAATTCTTTTCCACCATAGGCCCCAAAGGGCTCCAAATATCCACTGCAGATCCTACAAAAGTGTTTAAAAAATGCTAAATCAATAGAAAGTTTCAACTCCATGAGATGTATGCAAACATCACAAAGAAGTTTCTCAGAATGCTTCTCTCTAGTTTTTTTGTGAGGATATTTCCTTCTCCACCATAGGCCTCAAAGCACTCCAAATATCCACTGGCAGATTCTAGAAAAAGAGAGTTTCAAAACTGCTCAATCAAAAGAAATTTTGAAATCTGTGAGATGAATGTGCACATCACAAAGAAATTTCTCAGCGTACTTCTGTCTAGTTTTTATGTGAAGGTATTTCCTTTTCCACCATACTCATCAAAGTATTCCAAATATCCACTTGCACATTCTACAAAGAGAGTGTTTCAAAACTGCTCAATCAAAAGAATGGTTAATCTATGTGAGATGAATGCAAACATCACAAAGAAGTATCTCAGAATGCTTCTGTGTAGCTTTTATGTGAAAATGTTTCCTTTACCACCATAGTGCTCAAAGTGCTCCAAATATCCACTTACAGATTCTCCAAAAAGAGTGTTTGAAAACTGCTCAATCAAAAGAAAGGTTGAACCCTTTGAGATGAATGAACACATCACAAAGAAGTTTTTCAGAATGCTTGTGTCTAGGTTTTATGTGAATATACATCCTTTTCCACTATAGGCCACAAAGTGCTCCAAACACCCACTTGCAGATTCTACAAAAAGAGTGTTTCAAACGTCCTCAATAAAAAAAGTTTCAACTCTGTGAGGTGAATTCACACATCAAAAAGAAGATTCTTAGAATGCTTCTGTCTAGTTTTTTGTGAAGATATTTGCTTTTCCACCATAGGCCACAAAGTGCAACAAATATCCAATTACAAATTTTACAAAAATAGTGTTTCAAAACTTCTCAATCAAAAGAAAGGTTCAACTCTGTGAGTTGAATACACACATCACAAAGAAGTTTCTCAGAATGCTTCTGTCTAGATTTTGTCCAAAGTTATTTCCTTTTCCACTATACTTCTCAAAGTCCTCTGAATATCCACTTGCAGATTCTACAAAAGAAGTGTTTCAAAACTGCACAATCAAAAGAAAGGTTCAACTCAGTGAGTTGTATGCATATATCAGAAAGAAGTTTCTCAGAATGCTTTTGTGTAGTTTTTATGTGAAGATATTTCCTTTTCCACCATAGGCCCCAAAGCTCTCCAAATATCCACTTGCAGATTCTACAAAAAGCGGGATTCAAAACTGTTCAATCAAAAGAAAGTTTCAACTCTGTGAGTTGAAGGCACACATAACAAAGCCGTTTCTCAGAATGCTTCTCCGTAGTTTTTATATGAAGATATTTCCATTTCCATCATTCTCTCCAAAGCGCTCCAGATATCCACTTGCAGATGCCATAAAAAGAGTGTTTCAAAACTGCTCAATGAAAAGAAAGTTTCAACTCTGTGAGATGAATGGACACATCATAGAGACATTTCTTAGAATGCTTCTGTCTAGTGTTTATGTGAAGATATTTCCTTTTCCACCACACGCCTCAAAGCACTCTAAATATGCACTTGCAGATTCTACGAAGAGTGTTTCAAAACTGCTCAATCAAAAGAAAAGTTCAACTACTGTGAGATGAATGCACACATCACAAAGAAGTTTCTCAGAATGCTTCTGTCTGGTTGTTACGTGAAGATATTTGCTTTTCCACCACAGGCCACAAAGCACACCAAATATCCACTTGCAGATTTAAAAAAAAAAATAGTGTTTCAAAACTGCTCAATCAAAGGAAAAGTTCAACTCTGTGAGTTGAATGAACACATCACAAAGAAGTTTCCCAGAATGCGTCTGTGTAGCTTTTATGCAAAGTTATTTCCTTTTCCACAATACTCCACAAAGTCCTCCGAGTATCTACTTGCAGATTCTACAAAAAGAGAGTTTCAAAACTGCACAATCAAAAGAAAGGTTCAACTGTGATGTGAATGCACACATCACAAAGTCGTTTCTCAGAATGCTTTCCATAGTTTTTATATGAAGATATTTTCATTTCCACCATTCTCTCCAAAGCGTTCCAAATATCCACTTGCAGATTCTACAAAAAGAGCGTTTCAAAATTGTTCAATCGAATTAAAGGTTCATCTCTTTGAGATGAATGCACACAACAAAAAGAAGTTTCTCAGAATGCTTCTGTGTAGTTTTTATGTGAAGGTATTTCCTTTTACACCATAGGCCACAAAGGGCTCCAAATATTCACTTGCAGATTATACATAAAGAGAGTTTCAAAACTCCTCTATCAAAAGATAGGTACAACTCTGAGTTCAATGCACACATCTCAAAGAAGTTTCTCAGAATGCTTCTGTTTAATTTTTACGTGAAGATATTTCCATTTCTATAATAGGCCTCAAAGCGCTCCAAGTATCCACTTGTATATTTTACTAAAAGAGTGTTTCCAATATGCTCAATCAAAAGAAAGTTACAACTCTGGGAGATGAATGCACATATTATACAGAAGTTTCTCAGAATGCTTCTGTGTCTTTTTTATGTGAAGATATATCCTTTTCCACAATGGGCCTCAAAGTGCTCTGTGACATGAATGCACACTTAAAAAGACATTTCTCAGAATGCTTCTGTGTAGTTTTTATGTGAAGATATTTCCTTTTCCACCATAGGCCATAAAGGGCTCCAAATATCCACTTGCAGATTCTACAAAAAGAGAGTTTCAAAATTGCTCTATCAAAAGATAGGTTCAACTCTGTGAGCTGAATGCACTCATCACAAACAAGCTTCTCGGAATGCTTCTGTGTAGTTTTTATGTGAGGACATTTCCTTTTCCACAATAGGCCTCTAAGCACTACAAATATCCACTTGCGGATTCTTCAAATAGTGGTTTTCAAAACTGCTCAATGAAAAGAAATGTTCACCACAGTGTGTTGAACGAACATTTCACAAAGAAGTTTTTCAGAATACTTCTGTGCAGCTTTATATGAAGATATTTCCTTTTCCACCATAGGCCTCAATGCACTCCAAATATCTAGTTGAAGATTCTACAAAAAGTGCGTTTCAAAATTGCTCAATCAAAAGAAAGTTGAACTATGTGAGATGAATGCACACCTTGCAAAGAAGTTTCTCAGAATTCATCTGTGTTGTTTTTATGTAAAGATATTTTCTTTTCCACAGTAGGTCTCAAGGGGTTCCAAATATCCACTTGCAGATTTTACAAAAAGTCTGTTTCAAAAGTGCTCAGTGAAAAGAAAGGTTCAACTCTCTGAGATGAATCCACACATGACAATGAAGTTTCTCAGAATGCTTCTGTGTAGTTTTTATGTGAAGTTATTTCCTTTTCCACCAGAGGCCACAAAGAGTTCCAAATATCCACTTGCAGATTATACAAAAAGAGAGTTTGAAAACTGTGCAATCAAAAGATAGGTTCAAATCTGTGATTTGAATGCACACATCAGAAAGAAGTTTCTCAGAATGCTTCTGTGTAGATTTTATGTGCAGATATATCCTTTTCCACCATAGGCCTCAATGTGCTCAAAATATCCACTTAGAGGTACTACAAAAACAGTGTTTGAAAACTGCTCAATCAAAAGAAAAGTTCAACTCTGTGAGATGAACGCACACATCGCAAAGAAATTTGTCAGAATGTTTCTGTGTTGTTTTCATGCAAAGATATTTCCTTTTCCACAATAGGCCTCAAAGTGCTCCAAATAGCCACTTGCAGATTCTACAAAAATAGTGTTTCAAAACAGCTCAATCAAAAGAAATGTTGAACTCTGTGAGATGAATGCACACATCACCAAGAAGTTTTTTCAGAATGCTTCTGTGAAGTTTTTATGTGAAGATATTTCTTTATCCACCACAGGCAGCAAGGGGCTCTAAATATCCACTTGCAGATTCTACAAAAAGAGATTTTCAAAGCTCCTCGATAAAAAGATAAGTTCAACTCTGTGAGTAGAATGCTCACATCACAAAGAAGTTTCTTTGAATGCTTCTGTGTAGTTTTTATGTGAAGATATTTCCTTTTACACCATAGGCCTCAAAGCGCTCCAAATATACACCTGCAGATTCCAAAAAAAGAGATTTTCAAAACTGCTTATCAAAAGATAGGTTCAACTCCGTGAGTTGAATGCACACATCACAAATAAGTTTCTCAGAATGCTTCTGTGTATTTTTTATGGGAAGATATTTCCTTTTCCTCAATATGCCTCCTAGCACTGCAAATAGCCACTTGCAGATCACACTAAAAGAGTATTTCCAAACTGCATAGTCAAAAGAAAGGTGAAATGAACGCACACGTTGCAAAAAGTATCTCAGACTCCTTCTGTGTAGTTTTTATGTGAAGATATTTTCTTTTTTACAATAGGCCTCAAAGCTCTCCAAAGATCCACTTGCAGATTCTACAAAAGAGTGTTTCAAAACTGCTCAATCAAAATAAAGGTTCAACTCTGTCAGATGAATGCACACATCACAAGGTAGTTTGTCAGAATGCTTCTGTGTAGTTTTTATGTGAAGATATTTCCTTTTCCACCTTAGGCCGCAAAAGGCTCCACATATCCACTTGCAGTTTCTACAAAAAGAATGTTTCCAAACTGGTCACTCAAAAGAAAGGTTCAACTCTGTGAGTTGAATGCACACATCACAAAGAAGTTTCACAGAATTCTACTGTATAGTTTCTATGTGAAGATATTTCCTTTTCCGCAATAGGCCTCAAAGTGTTCCAAGTATCCACTTGCAGATACTACAAAGACATTGTTTCAAAACTGCTCAACCAAAAGAATGGTTCAACTCTGTGAGAGTAATGCACACATCACAAAGAAGTTTCTCAGAATGTTTCTGTGTAGTTTTTTTGTGAAGATATTTCCTTTTCCACAATAGGCCTCAAAGCGCTCCAAATATCCACTTGCAGATTCTTCAAAAATAGTGTTTCAAAACTGCTCAATGAAAAGAAAAGTTCAACTCTGTGAGAAGAACGCACACATCCCAAAGAAGTTTCTCAGAATTCTTCTGTGTAGTTTTTATGTGTTGACATTTCCTTTTACAACATAGGCCACAAAGGGCTCAAAATATTCTCTTGCAGATTCTACAAAAAGAGAGATCCAAAACTGCTCAATTAAAAGATATTTTCAACCTTTTGAAAAGAATGCACACATCACAAAGAAGTTTCTCAGAATGATTCTGTGTAGTTTTTTAATGAAGATATTTCCTTTTCCACCATAGGACGCAAACGACTTCAAATACCCACTTCCAGATTCTACGACAAGAGAGTTTCAAAACTGCTAAATGAAAACATAGGTTCAAATCTGTCAGTTGAATGCACACATCACAAAGAAGTTTCTCATAATTCTTCTGTGAAGTTTTTATGTGAAGATATTTCCATTTCCACAATAGACCTCAAATCTTTCCAAATATCTATTTGCTGATTCTACAAAAAGAGGGTTTCAAAACTGCACAATCATAAGAAATGTTCAACTCTGTGAGATGGGTGCACACAACACAAAGAAGTTTCTCAGAATGCTTCTGTGTAGTTTTTACGTAAAGATAATTCCTTTTCCCCTGGAGGCCTCAAATCTCTCTAAATATCCACTTGAAGATTCTACAAAAAGTGTTTTTCCAAACTGTTCAATCAAAAGAAACATTCAACTCTTTGTGATGAATGCACACATCACAAAGAAGTTTCTCAGAATGCTTCTGTGCAGTTTTTATGTGAACATATTTCCTTTTAAACCGTAGGCCACAATCAGCTCCACATACCCACTTCCAGATTCTACAAAAAGAGAGTTTCAAAACCGCTCAATCAAAAGATCCGTTCAATTCTGTGAGTTGAATGCAGACATCACAAAGAAGTTTCTCAGAATGCCTCTGTGTAGTTTTTATGTGAAGATATTTCCTTTTCTACAATAGGCCTCAATGCGCTCCAAATATCCACTTGCAGATTCTACAAAAGGAGTGTTTCAAAACTGCTCAAACAAAAGAAAGGTTCAACTCTGTGAGATGAATGCAAACATCACAGAGAAGTTTCTCAGAATGCTTCTGTGTAGTTTTTATGTGAAGGTATTTCCTGTTTCACCATATGCCGTAAAGGGCTCCAAATAGCAACTTGCAGTTTCTACAAAGAGAGTATTTCAAAACTTCTCAATCAAAACAAAAGTTCAACTCTGTGAGATGAATGCACACATCACAAAGAAGTTTCTCATAATGTTTCTGTGTAGTTTCTATCTGAAGATATTTCCTTTTCCCATATAGGCCACAAAGGGCTCCAAATATCCAGTTGCAGATTCTACAAAAACAGTGTTTCAAAACTGCACAATCAAAAGCAATATTCATCTCTGTGAGATTGAATGCACACATCACAAAGAAGTTTCTCAGAATGCTTCTGTGAAGTTTTTTTTGTGAAGATATTCCCTTTTCTACAATAGGGTTGAAATCGTCCAAGTTTCCACTTGCAGATTCTACAAAGAGAGTGTTTCAAAACTACTCAATCATAAGATAGGTTCCAATCTATGAGATGAATGCACACATCACAAAGAAGTTACTCAGAATGCTTCTGTGTAGTATTTATTTCAGGATATTTCCTTTTCCTCCATAGGCTGCAAAGGGCTTCAAATATCCACTTGCAGTTTCTACAAAAAGTGTGTTTCAAAAGTTCTCAATCAAAAGAAACTTTCAACTCTGTGGGATGAATGCACACATCACAGAGATATTTCTCAGAATGCTTCTGTGTGGTTTTTACGTGAAGATATTGGCTTTTCCACAGTAGGCTTCAAAGCGTTCCAAATATCCACTTGCAGATTCTATAAAAAGAGTGTTTCAAAACGGCTCAATCAAAAGAAACGTACAACTCTGTTAGATGAATACGCACATCACAAAGTAGTTTCTCAGAATAATTATGTGTAGGTTTTATGTGAAGATATTTCCTTTTATGCAATAGGCCACAAAGCGCTCCAAATATCCACCTGAAGATTCTGCAAAGAGAGTGTTTCAAAGCTGCTCAGTCATGAGATAGGTTCATCTCTGTGAGATGAATGCACACATCACAAAGAAGTTTCTCAGAATGCTTCTGTGTAGTTTTTATTTGAAGATATTTCCTTTGCCTCCATGGACCACAAAGGACTCCGAATATCCACTTGCAAATCCTACAAAAAGAGAAATCCGTAACTGCTCAATCGAAATATAGGTTCAAGTCTGTGAGTTGAATGAACACATCACAAAGAAGTTTCTCAGAATGTTTCTGTGTAGTTTTTATGTGAAGATATTTCCTTTTCCAAAATAGGCCTCAAAGTCCACCAAATATCCACTTGCAGATTCTACAAAAACAGTATTTAGAAACTGCTCAATCAAAAGACAGATTAGACTGTGAGTTTAATGCACACATCACAAATAACTTTCTCAGAATGCTTTTGTGTAGTTTTTATGTGAACATACTTCCTTTTCCATAATATGCCTCAAATCGTTCCAAGGATCCACTTGTAGATTCTACAAAGAGAGTGTTTGAAAACTGCTAAACCATAACATAGATTCAACTCTGTGAGATGAATGCACACATAAAAAGTAGTTTCTCAGAATGATTCTGTGTAGTTTTTATGTGAAGATATTTCCTTTTCCACTATAGGCCTCAAAATGCTCAAAATATCCACTTGCAGATACTACAGAAAGAGTGTTTCAAAACTACTCAATCAAAATAATGTTTCAACTGTGTGAGATGAATGCACACATCACAAAATTTTCTCAGAATGCTTCTGTGTAGTTTTTATGTGAAGATAATTGCTTTTACAAAGTAGACCTCAAATCTCTCCAAATATCCACTTGCAGATTCTACAAAAACTGTGTTTCAAAACTTCTTAATGAAAAGAAAGGTTCAACTATGTGAGATGAGTGCACACATCAAAAATAAGTTTCTCAGAATGCTTCTGTGTAGTTTTTATGTGAAGATATTGCCTTTTCCACAATAGGCTTCAGTGCACACCAAATATCCACTTGCAGAATCTACAAAAGGAGGGTTTCAAAACTCCTCCATCAAAAGAAAGGCTCAACTCTGTGAGATGAATGCACACATCACAAAGAAGTTTCTCAGAATGCTTCTGTGTAGTTTTTATGTGAAGATATTTCCTTTTCCACTATAGTCCTCAAAGTGTTCAAAATATCCACTTGCAGATTCTACAGAAAGAGTTTCAAAACTGCTCAATCAAAAGAAAGGTTCAACTCTGTGAGATGAATGCACACATCACAAAGAAGTTACTCAGAATGCCTCTGCATAGTTTTTGTGTGAAAATATTGACTTTTCCACAATAGACATCAAAGCCCTCAAAATATCCTCTTGCAGATTTTACAAAAACTGTGTTTCAAAACTGCCCTAACAAAAGAAAGATTCAACTCTGTGAGATGAATGCACACATCACAAAGAAGATTCTCAGAATGCTTCTGTGCACTTTTTATGTGAAGATATTTCTTTTCCACAACAGGCCTCAGAGCGCTTCAAATATCAACTGGAAGATTATACAAAGAGAGTGTTTCAAAACTGCTCAATCATAAGATAGGTTCATCTCTGTTCGTTGAATTTACACATCAAATGAAGTTACTCAGAATGCCTCCTTATAGTTTTTATGTGAACATATTTTCTGGTCCACAATAGGCCTCAAAGAGCTCAAAATATCCTCTTGCAGATTTTTCAAAAACAGTGTTTCAAAACTGCTCTACCAAAAGAAAGGTTCAACACTGTGAGGTGAATGCACACATCACAAAGAAGATTCTCAGAATGCCTCCATGTAGTTTTTATTTCAAGATATTTCCTTTTCCTCCATAGGCTGAAAAGGGCTCCAAATATCTACTTGCAGATTATACAAAAAGAGAGATTCAAAACTACTGAATCAAAAATAGGTTTAACTCTGTGTTATGAATGCACTCATCACAATGAAGTTTCTCAGAATGATTCTGTGTAGTTTTTATATGAAGATAGTTCATTTTATTCAATAGACCTCAAAGCACTCCAAATATCCACTTGCAGTTTCTACAAAAAGAGTGTCTCAAAACTGCTCAATGATAAGATAGGTTCAACTCTGTGACAAGAATGCACACATCACAAAGAATTTTCTCAGAGTCCTTCTGTGTAGTTTTTATGTGTAGATATTTACTTTTACACCGTAGACTTCAAAACACTCCAAATATCCACTTGCAGATTCTACAAAAAGAGTGATCCCAAACTGATCAAACAAAAGAAATGTTCAACTCTGTCAGATGAATGCACACATCACAAAGAACTTCCTCAGGATGCTTCTGTGTAATTTTTCTGTGAAGATATTTCCTTTTCCACAATAGACCTCAAAGCGCTCCAAATATCCACTTGCAGACTCTACAAAAAGAATGTGAAAACTGCTCAATCAACAGAAAGGTTCAACTCTGTGAGATGAATGCCTACATGACAAAGAAGTTTCTCAGAATGTTTCCGTGTAGTTTTTTTGTGATGATATTTCCTTTTCCACAATAGGCACCAAAGCGCTCCAGATATCCACTTTCAGATTCTACAAACAGAGGGTTTCAAAACTGCTCAATCAAAAGATAGGTTCAGGTGTGTGAGATGAATGCACACAACAACAAGAAGTTTCTCAGAATATTTCTCTGTAGTTTTCATTTGAAGATATCTCCTTTTCCACCATTGGCCGCAAAGGGCTCCAAACTTCCACTTGCAGATTCTACAAAAAGAGAGATTCAAAACTGATCAATCAAAGGTAGCTTCAACTCTGTGAGTTTAATGCACACATCACAGAAAAGTTTCTCAGAATGCTTCTGTGTAGTTTTTATGTAAAGATGTTTCCTTTTGCACCATATGCCACAAAGGCCTCCAAATACCGATTCCAGGTTCTTCAAAAAGAGAGTTTCAAAACAGCCCAATCAAAAGATAGGTTCAACTCCGTGAGATGAATGCACACATCACAAAAACTTTCTCAGAATGCTTCTGTGAAGTTTTTATATGATGATATTTCTTTTTCCACCACAGGCCGCAAAGGGCTCCAAATATACTCTTGCAGATTCCACAGAGAGACTCAAAACTGCTCAATCAAAAGATAGATTCAACCCTGTGAGTTGAATGCACAGATCACAGAGAAATTTCTCAGAATGCTTCTGTGTAGTTTTTATGTAAAGATATTTCCTTTTCCACTGGAGGGCTCAAAGCGCTACAAATATCAACTTGCACATTCTGCAAAAAGAGTGTTTCCAAACTGCTCAATCAAAAGAAACGTTCAACACTCTGAGATGAATGCACACATCACAAAGAAGTTTCTCAAAATTCTTCTGTGTAGTTTTTATGTGAAGATATTTCCTTTTCCTTATTAGGCCGCAAAGGGCTCCCAATATCTACTTGCAGATTATTGAAAAATAATCTCAATCAAAAAATAGGTTCAATTCTGTGAGTTGAATGAATACATCACAGAGAAGTTTCTCAGAATGCTTCTGTGTACTTTTTATGAGAATATATTTCCTTTTCTACCATAGGCCACAAAATGCTCCAAATATACCCTGGAGGATTACAGAAAAAGAGAGTTTCAAACTGCTCAATCAAAAGAAAGGTGCAAATCTGTGAGATGAATGCTCACATTACAAAGAGGTTTGTCACAATAGTTTTGTGTAGTTTTTATGTGAAGGTATTTCCTTTTCCACCATAGTCCTCAAAGTGCTCCAAATATTAAATTGCAAATTCTACAAAAAGAGTGTTTCCAAACTGCTCAAACTAAAGAAAGGTTCAACTCTGTGAGATGAATGCACACATCACATAGAAGTTTCTCAGAATGTTTCTGTATAGTTTTTATGTGAAGATATTTCCTTTTCCACAATAGGCCTTAAAGCGCTCCAAATATCCAACTGCAGATTCTACAAAAAAAGTGTCTCAAAACTGCTGAATCAACAGAAAATTTCAAATCTGTGAGATGAATGCATACGTCACAAAGAAATTTCTCAGAATGTTTCTGTGTAGTTTTAAAGTGAAGATATTTCCTTTTACACCAGAGGCCACAAATGGCTCCAAATATCCACTTGCAGGTTCTACAAAAAGAGAGTTTCAAAACTTCTTAATCAAATGATAGGTTCAACTCTGGGAGGTGAATCCACACGTCACAAAGAAGTTTCTCAGAATGACTCTGTGTATTTTTCATGTGATGACACTTTCTTTACCACCATAGGACTCAAAACCCTCCAAATGCCCACGTACAGATTCTACAAAAGAAGTGTTTCCAAACTGCACAATCAAAAGAAAAGTTCAACGCTGTGAGATAAATGCACACATCACAAAGAAGTTTCTCAGGATGCTTCTGTGTAGTTTTTATGTGAGGATATTTCCTTTTACACCATAGGCTGCAAAGGATTCCCAATATCCTCTTGCAGATTCTACAAAAAGAGTTTCAAAACTGCTGTATCAAAAGATAGGTTCAACTCTGTGACTTGAATACAAACATAACAAAGAAGTTTCTCAGAATGCTTCTGTGAAGTTTTTACGTGAAGATATTTCCTTTTCCATCATAGGCCACATAGCGCTCCAAATATCCATTTGCGGATTCTAGAAAAACAGTGTTTCCAAGCTGCACAACCAAAAGAAATGTTCAACTCCTTGAGATTAATGCACACATCGCAAAGAAGTTTCTCAGAATGCTTCTGGGTAGTTTTTATGTGACGATATTTTCTTTTCCACAATAGGCGTCAAAGAACTCCAAATATCCACTTGCAGATTCTACAAAAGAGAGTTTCAAAACTAGTCCATCAAAAGATAGGTTTAGCTCTGTGAGTTGAATGCACACATCACAAAGAAGTTTCTCAGAATGCTTTTGTGTAGTTTTTATGTAAAGATATTTTCTTTTCCGCCATAGGCCTCAAATCCCTCCAAATATTCACTTGCAGATTCCATAAAAAGAGTGTTTCTAAACTGTCCAAACAAAAGAAAGGTTGAAGTCAGTCAGATGAATTCGCAAATCGCAAAGAAGTTTCTCAGAATGATTCTGAGTACTTTTTACGTGAAGATATTAACTTTTCCACAGTAGGCCTCAAAGCCCTCCAAATATCCACATGATCATTCTACAAAAAGGGTATTTCATAACTGCTCAATCAAAAGAAAGTTTCTACTCTGTGAGATGAATGTACACATCACAAAGAAGTTTCTCAGAATGCTTCTGTGTAGTTTTTATCTGAAGATATTTCCTTTTCCACCATAGGCCACAAATGGCTCAAAATATCCACTTGCAGATTGCACAAAAAGACAATTTCAAATCTGCTCAATCCAAAGATATGTTCAAATCTGTGAGTTGAATGCACACATTACAAATAAGTTTCTCAGAATCCTTCTTTGTAGTTTTTATGTGAAGATATTTCCTTTTCCACCGTAGGCCTCAAAACCCTCCAAATATCCACTTTCACATTCCACAAAAAGAGCGTTTCAAAACTGCTCAATCAAAAGAAAAATTCAACTCTGTGAGATGAATGCACACATCACAAAGCAGTTTTTCAGAATGCTCCTGTGTAGTGTTTATCTCAAGATATTTCCTTTTCCACCATAAGCCTCAAAGGGCTCCAAATATCCACTTGCATATTCTACAAAAAGAGTGTTTCCAAACTGCTCAGACAAAGAAAGTTTCAACTCTGTCAGATGAATGCACACATCACAAAGAAGCTTCTCAGAATGCTTCTGTGTAATTTTTATGTGAAGATATTTCCTTTTCCACAATAGTCCCCAAAGCGTTCCAAATATCCACTTGCAGATTCTATAAAAAAAAGTTTCCAAACTGCTCAATCAAAAGAAAGGTTCAAGTCTGTGAGATGAATGCACCCTTCACAGAGAAGTTTCTCAGAATGCTTCTGTGTAGTTTTTTTGTGAAGATATTTCCTTTTACACCATAGGCCCAAAGGGCTCCATATATCCACTTGCAGATTCTATGAAAAGACAGTTTCAAAATTGCTCTCTAAAAAGACAGGTTCAACTCTGTGAGTTGAATACACAATAACAAAAATGTTTCACAGAATGCTTCTGTG
The DNA here is from genome assembly GCF_000001405.40 of Homo sapiens. Taxonomy (NCBI): domain Eukaryota; kingdom Metazoa; phylum Chordata; class Mammalia; order Primates; family Hominidae; genus Homo; species Homo sapiens. The sequence continues at coordinate 12,395,354 of NC_000022.11, read as the reverse complement.
AAGTTTTTATGTGACGATATTTCGTTTTCCACAATAGGCCACATAGCACTCCAAGTATCCACTTGCAGATTCCACAAAAACAGTGTTTCAAGCTGCACAATCAAAAGAAATATTCAACTCTGTGAGATGAATGCACACATCACCAAGAAATTTCTCAGAACGCTTCTGTGTAGATTTTATGTGAAGATGTTTCCTTTTGCACTATAGGCCTCAAAGGGCTCCATATATCCACTTCCAGATTCTACAAAAATATATTTTCAAAACTGTTCAATCAAAAGATATGTTCAACTCTGAGAGTTGCATGCATTCATCGCAAAGAAGTTTCTCAGAGTACTGTGGTGTAGTTTTTTTTTTAAATTTATTTTATTTTATTATTATTATACTTTAAGTTTTAGGGTACATGTGCACATTGTGCAGGTTAGTTACATATGTGTACATGTGCCATATTGGTGTGCTGCACACATTAACTCGTCATTTAGCATTAGGTATATCTCCTAATGCTATCCGTCCCCCCTCCCCCCACCCCACATCAGAGTGTGATGTTCCCCTTCCTGTGTCCATGTGTTCCCATCGCTCAATTCCCACCTATGAGTGACAGCATGCAGTGTTTGGTTTTTTGTCCTTGCGATAGTTTACTGAGAATGATGATTTCCAATTTCATCCATGTCCCTACAAAGAACATGAACTCATCATTTTTGTATGGCTCCATAGTATTCCATGGTGTATATGTGCCACATTTTCTTAATCCACTCTGTTATTGTTGGACATTTGGGTTGGTTCCAAGTCTTTACTATTGCGAATAGCGCTGCAATAAACATACATGTGCATGTGTCTTTAAAGCAGCATGATTTATAGTCCTTGGGTATATACCCAGTAATGGGATGGCTGGCTCAAATTGTATTTCTAGCTCTACATCCCTGAGGAATCGCCACACTGACTTCCACAATGGCTGAATTAGTTTACAGCCCCACCAACAGTGTAAAAGTCTTTCTATTTCTCCATATCCTCTCCAACACCTGTTGTTTCCTGACTTTTTAATGATTGCCATTCTAACTGGTGTGAGGTGGTATCTCATTGTGGTTTTCATTTGCATTTCTCTGGTGGCCAGTTAAGGATGAGCATTTTTTCATGTGTTTTTGGCTGTATAAATGTCTTCTTTGGGAAGTGTCTGTTCATGTCCTTCACCCACTTTTTGAAGGGGTTGTTTGTTTTTTTCTTGTAAATTTGTTTGTGTTCATTGTAGATTCTTGATATTAGCCCTTTGTCAGATAAGTAGGTTGTGAAAACTATCTCCCATTTTGTATATTGCCTGTTCACTCTGCTGGTAGTTTCTTTTGCTGTGCAGAAGCTCTTTAGTTTAATTAGATCCCATTTGTCAATTATGGCTTTTGTTGCCATTGCTTTTGGTGTTTTAGACATGAAGTCCTTGCCCATGCCTATGTCCTGAATGGTAATGCCTGGGTTTTCTTCTAGGATTGTTATGGTTTTAGGTCTAACGTTTAACTTTTTAATCCATCTTAAATTAATTTTTGTATAAGGTATAAGGAAGGGATCCAGTTTCAGCTTTCTACATATGGCTAACCAGTTTTCCCAGCACCACTTACTAAATAGGGAATCCTTTCCCCATTACTTGTTTTGTTCAGGTTTATCAAAGATCAGATAGTTGTAGATATGCAGTGTTATTTCTGAGGGCTCTGTTCTGTTCCATTGATCTATATCTCTGTTTTGGTACCAGTACCATGCTGTCTTGGTTACTGTAGCCTTGTAGTATAGTTCAAAGTCAGGTAGGCTGATGCTTCCAGCTTTGTTCTTGTGGCTTAGGATTGACTTGTTGATGCGGGCACTTTTTTGGTTCCATATGAACTTTAAAGTAGTTTTTTCCAATTCTGTGAAGAAGGTCATTGGTAGCTTGATGGGGATGACATTGAATCTATAAATTATCTTGGGCAGTATGGTCATTTTCACAATATTGATTCTTCCTGCCCATGAGCATGGAATGTTCTTCCATTTCTTTATATCCTCATTTATTTCATTGAGCAGTGGTTTGTAGTTCTCCTTGAAGAGGTCCTTCACGTCCCTTGTAAGTTGGATTCCTACATATTTTATTCTCTTTGAAGCAATTGTGAATGGGAGTTCACTCATGATTTGTCTCTGTTTGTCTGTTATTGGTGTATAAGAATGCTTGTGATTTTTGTACATTGATTTTGTATCCTGAGACTTTGCTGAAGTTGCTTATCAGCTTAAGGAGATTTGGGGCTGAGACAATGGGGTTTTCTAGATATACAATCATGTCATCTGCAAACAAGCACAATTTGACTTTCTCTTTTCCTAATTGAATACCCTTTATTTCCTCCTCCTGCCTAATGGCCCTGGCCAGAATTCCCAACACTATGTTGAATAGGAGTGGTGAGAGAGGGCATCCCTGTCTTGTGCCAGTTTTCAAAGGGAATGCTTCCAGTTTTTGCCCATTCAGTATGATATTGGCTGTGGGTTTGTCATAGCTAGCTCTTATTATTTTGAGATACGTCCCATCAATACCTAATTTATTGAGAGTTTTTAGCATGAAGTGTTGTTGAATTTTGTCAAAGGCCTTTTCTGCATCTATTGAGATAATCATGTGGTTTTTGTCTTTGATTCTGTTTATATGCTGGATTACATTTATTGATTTGCATATATTGAACCAGCCTTGCATCCCAGGGATGAAGCCCACTTGATCATATTGGATAAGCTTTTTGATGTGCTTCTGGAATCGGTTTGCCAGTATTTTATTGAGGATTTTTGCATCAATGTTCATCAAGGATATTGGTCTAAAATTTGGTTTTTTGGTTGTGTCTCTGCCCGTCTTTGGTATCAGGATGACGCTGGCCTCATAAAATGAGTTAGGGAGGATTCTCTCTTTTTCTATTGATTGGAATCATTTCAGAAGGAATGGTACCAGTTCCTCCTTGTACCTCTGGTAGAATTCGGCTGTAAATCCATCTGGTCCTGGACTCTTTTTGGTTGGTAAGCTATTGATTATTGCCACAATTTCAGAGCCTCTTATTGGTCTATTCAAAGAGTCAACTTCTTCCTGGTTTAGTCTTGGGAGGGTGTATGTGTCAAGGAATTTATCCATTCCTTCTAGATTTTGTAGTTTGTTTGTGTAGAGGTGTATGTAGTATTCTCTGATGGTAGTTCGTATTTCTGTGGGATCAATGGTGATACTCACTTTATCATTTTTTATTGCGTCTATTTGATTCTTCTCTCTTTTCTTCTTTATTAGTCTTGCTAGCGGTCTATCAATCTTGTTGATCTTTTCAAAAAACAAGCTCCTGGATTCATTAATTTTTGAAGGGTTTTTTGTGTCTCTATTTCCTTCAGTTCTGCTCTGATTTTAGTTATTTCTTGCCTTCTGCTAGCTTTTGAATGCGTTTGCTCTTGCTTTTCTGGTTCGTTTAATTGTGATGTTAGGATGTCAATTTTGGATCTTTCCTGCTTTCTCTTGTGGGCATTTAGTGCTATAAATTTCCTTCTACACACTGCTTTGAATGTGTCCCAGAGATTCTGGTATGTTGTGTCTTTGTTCTCGTTGGTTTCAAAGATCATCTTTATTTCTGCCTTCATTTTGTTATGTACCCAGTAGTCATTCAGGAGCAGGTTTTTCAGTTTCCATGTAGTTGAGCAGTTTTGAGTGAGTTTCTTAATCCTTAGTTCTAGTTTGATTGCACTGTGGCCTGAGAGACAGTTTGTTATAATTTTTGTTCTTTTATATTTGCTGAGGATAGCTTTACTTCCAACTATGTGGTCAATTTTGGAATAGGTGTGGTGTGGTGCTGAAAAAAATGTATATTCTTTCGATTTGGGGTGGAGAGTTCTGTTGATGTCTATTAGGTCTGCTTGGTGCAGAGCTGAGTTCAATTCCTGGGTATCCTTGTTAACTTTTTATCTCGTTGATCTGTCTAATATTGACAGTGGGGTGTTGAAGTCTCCAATTATTATTGTGTGGGAGTCTAAGTCTCTTTGTACATCACTCAGGACTTGCTTTAAGAATCTGGGTGTTCCTGTATTGGGTGCATATGTATTTAGGATAGTTAGCTCTTCTTCTTGAATTGATCCCTTTACCATTATGTAATGGCCTTCTTTGTCTCTTTTGATCTTTGTTGGTTTAAAGTCTGTTTTATCAGTGACAGTATTGCAACCCCTGCCTTTTTTTGCTTTCCATTTACTTGGTAGATCTTCCACCATCCTTTCATTTTGAGCCTATGTGTATCTCTGCATGTGAGATGGGTTTCCTGAATACAGCACACTGATGGGTCTTGACTCTTTATCCAAATTGCCAGTCTGTGTCTTTAAATGGAGCATTTAGTCCATTTACATTTAGAATTAATATTGTTATGTGTGAATTTGATCCTGTCCTTATGATGTTTGCTGGTTATTTTGCTCGTTAGTTGATGCAGTTTCTTACTAGCCACAGTGGACTTTACAATTTGGCATGATTTTGCAGTGGCTGGTACTGGTTGTTTCTTTCCATGTTTAGTGCTTCCTTCAGGAGCTCTTTTAGGGCAGGCCTGGTGGTGACAAAATCTCTCAGCATTTGCTTGTCTGTAAAGTATTTTATTTCTCCTTCACTTATGAAGCTTAGTTTGGCTGGATATGAAATTCTGGGTTGAAAATTCTTTTCTTTAAAAATGTTGAATATTGGCCCACACTCTCTTCTGGCTTGTAGAGTTTCTGCCAAGAGATCTGCTGTTAGGCTGATGGGCTTCCCTTTGAGGGTAACTCCACCTTTCTCTCTGGCTGCCCTTAACATTTTTTCCTTCATTTCAACTTTGGTGAATCTGACAATTATGTGTCTTGGAGTTGCTCTTCTCGAGGAGTATCTTTGTGGCATTCTCTGTATTTTCTGAATCTGAATGTTGGCCTGCCTTGCTAGATTGGGGAAGTTCTCCTGGATAATATCCTGCAGAGTGTTTTCCAACTTGGTTCCATTCTCCACATCACTTTCAGGTACACCAATCAGACATAGATATGGTCTTTTTACATAGTCCCATATTTCTTGGAGTCTTTGTTCATTTCTTTTTATTTTTTCTCTAAACTTCCCTTCTCACTTTATTTCATTCATTTCATCTTCCATCACTGATACCCTTTCTTCCAGTTGATCGCATCGGCTCCTGAGGCTTCTGCATTCTTCACGTAGTTCTGGAGCCTTGGCTTTCAGCTCCATCAGCTCCTTTAAGCACTTCTCTATGTTGGTTATTCTAGTTATACATTCGTCTAAATTTTTTCAAAGTTTTTAACTTCTTTACCTTTGGTTTGAATTTCCTCCTGTAACTCGGAGTAATTTGATCGTCTGAAGCCTTCTTCTCTCAGCTCGTCAAAGTCATTCTCCATCCAGCTTTGTTCCATTGCTTGTGAGGAACTGCATTCCTTTGGAGGAGGAGAGGCACTCTGCTTTTTAGAGTTTCTAGTTTCTCTGCTCTGTTTTTTCCCATCTTTGTGGTTTTATCTACTTTTTGTTTTTGATGATGGTGATATACAGATGGGTTTTTGGTGTGGATGTCCTTTCTGTTTGTTAGTTTTCCTTCTAACAGACAGGACCCTCAGCTGCAGGTCTGTTGGAGTTTGCTAGAGGTCCACTCCAGATCCTGTTTGCCTGGGTGTCAGCAGCGGTGACTGCAGAACAGCGGATTTTCATGAACCACAAGCGCTGCTGTCTGATCTTTGCTCTGGAAATTTTGTCTCAGAGGAGTACACGGCAGTGTGAGGTGTCAGTCTGACCCTACTGGGGGGTGTCTCCCACTTAGGCTGTTCGGGGTTCAGGGGTCAGGTACCCAATTGAGGAGGCAGTCTGCCCATTCTCAGATCTCCAGCTGTGTACTGGGAGAACCACTGCTCTCTTCAAAGCTGTCAGACAGGGACATTTAAGTCTGCAGAGGTTACTGCTATCTTTTTGTTTGTCTGTGCCCTGCCCCCAGAGGTGGAGCCTACAGAGGCAGGCAGGCCACCGAAAGCTGTGGTGGGCTACACCTACTTCGAGTTTCCAGCAGCTTTGTTTACCTAAGCAATCCTGGGCAATGGGGGTGCCCCACCCCCAGCCTCACTGCCACCTTGTAGTTTGATCACAGACTGCTGTGCTAGCAATCAGTGAGACACCGTGGACATAGGACGCTCCAAGCAAGATGTGGGATATAATCTCCTGGTGCGCCATTTTTTAAGCCCGTTGAAAAAGTACAGTATTAGTGTGGGAGTGACCAGATTTCCCAGGTGCAATCTGTCGCCCCTTTATTTGACTAGGAAAGGGAACTCCCTAACCACTTGCACTTCCCAAGTGAGGAAATGCCTCGCTCTGCTTCTGCCCACACATGGTACGCTGCACCCACTATCCTGCACCCACTGTCTGGCACTTCCTAATGAGATGAACCAGGTATCTCAGATGGAAATGAAGAAATCTCCCAACTTCTGTGTCACTCAGGCTGGGAGCTGTAGAACCGAGCTGTTCCTATTTGGCCATCTTGACTGCCACCTCATTTGCCAGTTGGCTTCTGTGTAGTTTTTATGTGAAAATATTTCCCTTTCCACCATAGGCCACAAAGGGCTCCAAACATCCACTTGTAGATACTACAAAAAGAGTGTTTCCAAACTGCTCAATCAAAAGAAAGGTTCAACTCTGTGAGATGAAGGCACACATCACAAAGAATTTCCTCAGAAATCTTTTTTGTAGTTTTTATGTGAAGGTATGTCCTTTTCCACCGTAGGTGGCAAAGGGCTCCAAATATCCTCTTGCAGATTCTACAAAAAGAGAGATTCAAAACTGCTCAATGAAAAGATAGTTTCAACTCTGTTACTTTAATGCACACTTAACAGAGATGTTTCTCAGAATGCTTCTTTGTAGTTTTTATGTGAAGATATTTCCATTTCCACCATAGGCCTCAAAGAGCTCCAAATATCCACTTGCAGATTCTACAAAAAGAAAGTTTTAAAACTGCTGAATGAAAAGAAAGGTTCAACACTGTGATATGAATGCACACATCACACAGAACTTTCTCAGAATGATTCTGTGCAGCTTTAATGTGAAGATATTTCCTTTTCCACAATAGGAACCTAAGCGCTCCAAATATCAACTTACAGATTCTACAAAAAGAGTTTTTCAAAACTGCTCAATCAAAAGAAAGGTTCAACTCTGTGAGATGAATGCACACTTCACAAAGAGGTTTCTCGGAATGCTTCTGTGGAGATTTCATGTGAAGATATTTTCTTTTCAACTATAGGCCTCAAAGTGCTCCAATTATCCACTTGCAGATTCTACAGAGTGTTTCAAAACTGCTAAACGAAAAGGAAGATTCATCTCTGTGAGATGAATGCACACATCACCACGAAGTTTCTCAGAATGCTTCCATGTAGTTTTTAGTTGAAGATATTCCCATTTCCACCATTGGCCACAAATGGCTCCAAATATCCACTTGCAGATTCTACAAAAAGAGAGTTTCAAAACTGTTCAATGAAAAAATAGGTTCAACTCCATGAGTTGAATGCACACATCACAGAGAAGTTTCTCAGAAAGCTTCTGTGTAGTTTTTATGTGAAGATATTTCTTTTACACAATGGGCCTCAAAGTGCTCCAAATATTCACTTGCAGATACTTCAAAAAGATTGTTTCAAAACTGCTCAATCAAAAGAAAGGTTCATCCCTGTGAGATGAATGCACAGATCACAAAGAAGTTTCTCAGAATACTTCTGTTTGTTTTTTATGTGAAGGCATTTCCTTTTCCACAATAGGCCACAAAAGGCTAGAAATATCCACTTGCAGATAATAGAAAAAGACAGTTTCAAAATGGCTCAATCAAAAGATAGGTTCGAATCTGTGAGTTGAATGCACACATCACAAAGGAATTTCTCAGAATACTTCTGTGTAGTTTTCATGTGAAGGCATTTCTTTTTCTACCATAGGCCTCAAAGGGCTCCAAATATACAACTGCAGATACTATAAAAAGAGAGTTTCAAAACTGTTCATCAAAAGTTAGATTCACATCAGTGAGTTGAATTCACACATCACAAAGAAGTTTCTCAGAATGCTTCTGTGTGGTCTTTAAGTGAAGATATTTTCTTTTCCACAATAGGCCTCAAAGCGTTCCAAATATCCACTTGCAGATTATACAAAAACAGTGTTTCAATACTGCTCAATCAAAAAAAGGTTCAACTCTGTGAGATGAATGCACACATCACAAAGAATTTTCTCAGAATGCTTCTGTATATTTTTTATGTGAAGATATTTCGTTTTCCAAAATAGGCCTCAAAGCCCTCCAAATAGCCACTTGCAGATTCTACAAAGAGAGTGTTTCAAAACTGCTCAAACAAAATAAAAGTTCAACTGTGTGAGATAAATGCACACATCAAAAAGAAGTTTCTCAGAATGCTTCTGTGTAGTTTTTATGTAAATATATTTGTGTTCAACTGTTGGCCTCAAAGTGCTCCAAATATCCACTTGCATATTCTACAATTGGAGTGTTTCAAAACTACTCAATCAAAAGAAAAGTTCAACTCTGTGAGATGAATGCACACATCACAAAGAAGTTTCTCAGAATGCTTCTGTGTAGTTTTTATGTGAAGATATTTCCTATTCCACTGTAGGCCTCAAAGCGCTCCAAATATCCTCTTGCAGATTCTACAAAAAGAGTGTTACAAAACTGCTCAATCAAAAGAAAGTTTCAACTCTGTGAGATGAAAGCACACATCACAAAGAATTTTCTCAGAATGCTTCTGTGTAGTTTTTACGTGAAGATATTTCCTTTTTCAAAACAGGCCTCAAAGCCCTCCAAATATCCACTTGCAAATTCTACAAAAAGTGTGTTTCAAAACTGCTCAATAAAAAGAAAGGTTCAACTCTGTAAGATGAATACACACATCACAAAGAAGTTTCTCAGAATGCTTCTGTGTAGTTTTTATGTAAATATATTTGCTGTTCAACTGTTGGCCTCAAAGAGCTCCAAATATCCACTTGCATGTTCTACAAATAGAGTGTTTCAAAACTGCTGAATTATAAAATAGGTTCAAACCTGTGAGATGAATGCACACATCACAAAGAAGTTTCTCAGAATGCTTCTGTGTAGTTTTTATGTGAAGATATTTCCTTTTCCACAATAGGCCTCAAAAGGCCCCAAATATCCACTTGCAGATTCTACAAATAGAGTGTTTCATAACTGCTAAATCATAAGATAGTTTCAAATCTGTGAGATAAATGCATACATCACAAATAAGTTTATCAGGATACTTTTGTGTAGTTTTTATGTTAAGATTTTTCGTTTTCCACAATAGGCCTCAAAGCACTCCAAATATCCACTTGTGGATTCTACAAAAAGATTGTTTCAATACTGCTCAATCATAAGACAGGTTCAACTGTGTGAGATGAATGCAGACATCACAAAGAAGTTTCCCAGAATGCTTCTGTGAAGTTTTTATGTGACGATATTTGCTTTTCCACAGTAGGCCTCAAAACGCTCCAAATATCCACTTGAAGATTCTACAAAAACAGTGTTTCAAAACTGCTGAATCACAAGATAGGTTCAACTCTGTGAGTTGAATGAACACATAACAAAGAAGTTCCTCAGAATGCTTCTGGGTAGTTTTTATTTGAAGATATTTCCTTTTCCTCCATAGGCTGCAAAGGGTTCCAAATGTCTACTTGTGGATCGTACAAAAAGAGGGATTCATAACTGCTCAAAGAAAAGATAGGTTCACCTCTGTGAGTTTAATGCACATATCAAAAAGAAGTTTCTCAGAATGCTTCTGTGTAGTTTTTATTTGAAGATATTTCCTTTTCCACCTTAGGCCACAAAGGGCTCCAAATATCTGCTTGCAGATTCTACAAAAAGATGTTTCAAAACTGCTCAATCAAAAGAAATGTTCAACTCTGTGAGATGAAGGCACACATCTCAAAGAAGTTTCTCAGAATGCCTCTGTGTTGTTTTTATGTGAAGATATTTTCTTTTTCAGAGTAGGCCTCAATTGCTCCAAATATCCACTTGCAGACGCTACAAAAAGAGGGTTTCCAAACTGCTCAATCAAAAGAAATATTCAACTCTGTGAGAGGAATGCACATATCACAGGGAAGTTTCCCAGAAATCTTCTGTGTAGTTTTTATGTGAAGATATTTCCTTTTCCACAGTAGGCCTCAAAACGCTCCAAGTATCCACTTACAGATTCTACAAAGAGAGTGTTTCAAAACTGCTCAATCAAATGAAAGGTTCACCTCTGTGAGTTGAAAGAACATATCATGAAGAAGTTTCTCTGAATGCTTCTGTGTACCTTTTCTTTGAAGATATTTCCTTTTCATTCATAGGCCAAAAAGGGCACCAAATATCCAGTTGCAGATTCTACAAAGAGAGATTAAATACTGCCCAATCAAAAGATAGTTTCAACCATGTGAGTTGAATGCACACATCATGAAGAAGTTTATCAGAATGCCTCAGTGTAGTTCTTATGTGAAGATATTTGTTCTTCCACAGTAGGCCTCAAAACGCTCCGAATATCCACTTGCAGATACTATGAAAACAACGTTTCAGAATTGCGCAATCAAAAGAAAATTTCAACACTGTGAGATGAATGCACACATCACAAATTAGCTTCTCAGAATGCTTCTGTGTAGTTTTGATGTGAAGATATTTCCTTTTCCACAATAGGCCTCAAAGCACTCCAAATATCCACTTGCAGATTCTACAAAAACAGCATTTCAAAACTGCTCAATCTAAAGAAAATTTCAACTCTGTGAGATGAGTTCACACATCACAAAGAAATTTCTCACAATTCCTCCGTGTAGAGTTTATTTAAAGATAATTCCTTTTCCACCATAGGCCGATAAGGGCTCCAAATATCCGGTTGAAGATTCCACAAAAAGATTCAAAACTGTTCCATTAAGACATTGGTTCAACTCTGTGAGTTGAATGCACACATCACAAAGAAGTTTCTGAGAATTCTTCTGTGTAGTCTTTATGTGAAGATATTTCCTTCTCCAAAATAAGCCTCAAAACCCTCCAAATATCCACCTGCAGATTCTACAAAAAGAGTGTTTCAAATCTGCTCAATCAAAAGAAGTTAAAATCTTTATGATGAATGCACACATCATAAAGAAGTTTCTCAGACTGCCTACGTGTAGTTTTTACATGAAGATATTTCCTTTTCCACAATAGGCCTCAAAGCGCTCCAAATATCCACTTGCAGATTCTACAATAAGAGTGTTTCAAAACTGCTCTATCAAAAGATAGTTTCAACACTGTGAGCTGAATGTACACATCACAAAGAAGTTTCTCAGAATGCTTCTGTGTAGTTTTGATGTGAAGATATTTCCTTTTCCAAAATAGACCTCAAAGCCCTCCAAATATCCACTTTCAGTTTCTACATAAAGAGCGTTACAAAACTGTTCAATCAAAAGGAAAGTTTCAACTATGTGTGATGAATGCACTTGTAACAAAGAAATTTCTCAGAAAGATTCTGTGTAGTTTTTATGTGAAAATATTTCCTTTTCCACAATAGACCTAATAGCGCTGCAAATATTCACTCTCAGATTCTACAAAAAGAGTGATTCGAAACTGTTCAATCAAAAGATAGGTTCAACTCTGTGAGTTGAATGCACACATCACAAAAAGTTTCTCAGAATGCTTCTGTGTAGTTGTTATGTGAAGATATTTCCTTTTCCACACTAGGCTTCAAAGCTCTCCAAATATCCAGTTGCAGATTCTGCAAAAAGAGAGATTAAAAACTGCTCCATCAAAATATAGGTTCGATTCCATGAGTTGAATGCACACATCACAAAGAAGTTTCTCAGAATGCTTCTGTGAAGATTTTTGTGAAGATATTTGCTTTTCCACAGTAGGCCTCAAAGCGCTCCAAATATCCACTTGAAGATTCTACAAAAACAGTGCTTCAAAACTGCTGAATCATAAGATAGTTTCAACTCTGTGAGTTGAATGCATACATAGCAAAGAAGTTCCTCAGAATGCTTCTGGGTAGTTTTTATTTGAAGATATTTCCTTTTTCTCCATAGGCCACAAAGGGCTCCAAATGTCCACTTGCAGATCCTACAAAAAGAGGGAATCAAAACTGCTCAATGGAAAGATAGGTTCACCTCTGTGAGTTTAATGCACATATCACAAAGTGGTTTCTCAGAATGCTTCTGTGTAGTTTTTATGTGAAGATATTTCCTTTTTCACAATAGGCCACATCGGCTCCAAATAAACACTTGCAGATTCTACAAAAAGAGTGTTTCAAAACTGCTCAATCATAAGATAGGTTCAACAATTTGAGATGAAAGCACACATCACAAAGAAGTTTCTCAGAATGCCTCTGTGTAGTTTTTATGTGAAGATGTTTCCTTTTCTACCATATGCTTCAAAGTGATCCAAACATTCACTTGTAGATACAACAAAAAGAGTGTTTCCAAACTGCTCAATCAAAAGAAAGGTTCAACTCTGTGAGATGAAGGTACACATGACATAGAAGTTCCTCAGAAATCTTTTTTGTAGTTTTTATATGAAGGTATTTCCTTTTCCACCATAGGCCGAAAAGGGCTCCAAATATCCTCTTGCAGATTCTACAAAAAGAGAGATTCAAAACTGCTCAATCAAAAGAAAGTTTCAACTCTGTGAGTTTAATGCACACTTAACAAAGGTGTTTCTCAGAATGCTTCCGTGTAGTTTTCTGTTTTACAAACAGAAAGTTTCAAAACTGCTGAATAAAAAGAAAGGTTCAACATTGTGAGATGAATGCACACATCACACAGATGTTTCTCAGAATGATTCTGTGCAGTTTATATGTAAAGATATTTCCTTTTCCACAATAGGAATCTAAGTGCTCCGAATATCAACTTGCAGATTCTACATAAAAAGTTTTTCAAAACTGCTCAATCAAAGGGAAGGTTCAACTCTGTGAGATGAATGCACACATCGCAAAGAGGTTTCTTGGAATGCTTCTGTGTAGATTTCATGTGAAGATATTTTCTTTTCAACAATAGGCCTCAAAGCGCTCCAATTATCCGCTTGCAGATTCTACAAACAGAGTGTTTCAAAACTGCTAAATGAAAAGAAAGATTCATCTCTGTGAGATGAATGTGCACATCACCATGAAGTTTCTCAGAATGCTTCTGTGTAGTTTTTCTGTGAAGATATTTCCTTTTCCACAGTAGACCTCAAATCTCTCCAAATATCCACTCACAGATTATGCAAAAAGAGAGATTCAAAACTGCTCAATCAAAAGATAGGTTCGACTCCGTGAGTTGAATGCACACAAAACAAAGAAGTTTCTCAGAATGCTGCTGTGTAGCTTTTATGTGAAGATATTTCCTTTTGCACAATAGGCGTCAAATCGATCCAAATTTACACTTGCAGATTCTACAAAAAGAGTGTTTCAAAACTGCTCAATCAAAACATAGGTTCAATTCCTTTTTTTTCCATGTTTTCTATTCTTTTTTTTTAATTTCTTTTTTTTATTATTATACTTTAAGTTTTAGGGTACATGTGCACATTGTGCAGGTTAATTACATACGTATACATGTGCCATGCTGGTGTGCTGCACCCACTAACTCGTCATCTAGCATTAGGTATATCTCCCAATGCTACCCCTCCCCCCTCCCCCCACCCCACAACAGTCCCCAGAGTGTGATGTTCCCCTTCCTGTGTCCATGTGATCTCATTGTTCAATTCCCACAAAACATAGGTTCAATTCTGTGAGCTGAATGCACTCAACACAAACATGTTTCTCAGAATGCTTCTGTGTAATCTTTATGTGAAGATATTTCCTTTTCTACCATAGGCCACAAAGGGCTCCAAATATCCACTTGCACATTCTACAAAAAGAGTGTTTCAAAACTGCTCAATCAAAAGAAAGGTTCAACTCTGTGAGATGAATGCACACATCACAAAGAAGCTTATCTGATTGTTTCAGCAGAGATTTATATGAGGATACTTCCTTTTCTACCATTGGCCACAAAGGGCCCCAAATGTCCACTTGCAGATTCTACAGAAAGAGTGTCTCCAAACTGCTCAATCAAAAGGAAGGTTCATCTGTGTGAGATGAATGCACACATCAGAAAAAAGTTTCACAGAATTCTTCTGTCCAGTTTTCATGTGAAGATATTTGCTTTTCCACCAGAGGCCTCAAAGCCCTCCAAATGTCCACTTGAAGATTCTACAAAAAGAGTGTTTCCAAATTGCTCCATGAAAAGAAACTTTGAACTCTGTGAGATGAACGCACACATCACAAAGAAGTTTCTCAGAACTCTTCTGTCTCGTTTTTATGTGAAAGTATTTCTTTTCCCTCTAAAGGCCTCAAGGTGCTCGAAATGTCCACTTGCAGATTCTACAAAAAGAGTATTTCGTTACTGGTCCATTAAAAGAAAGGTTCAACTCTGGGATATGAATGCACACATCATGAAGAAGTTATTCAGAATGCTTCTATCTAGTTTTTATTGAAGATATTTCCTTTTCCACCATCGGCCTCAAAGCCCTCCAAATGTGCACTTGCAGATTACACAAAAAGAGAGTTTGAAAACTACTCAATCAAAAGAAAGGTTTAACTCTGGAATATGAAGACACACATCACAAAGAAGTTTTTCAGATAGCTTCTGTCTAGATTTTATGTGTAGATATTTCCTTTTCTACCATAGTCTGCAAAACACTCCAAATGTCCACTTGCAGATTCTACAAAATGAAGTTTTTCAAAACTCCTCAATCAAAAGAAATGTTCAACTCTTTGAGATGAATGCACACATCAAAAAGAAGTTTCTCAGAATACCTCTGTCTAGTTTTTATGTGAGAATACTTCCTTTTCCAACATAGAACTCAAAGCGCTCCAAATGGCCACTTGCAGGTTCTACAAAAAGAGAGTTTCCAAACTGCTCAATCAAAAGAAAAGTTTAACACTGTCAGATGAATGCCCACTTCACAAAGAAGTTTCTCAGATTGCTTCTGTCTAGACGTTATATGAAGATATTTCCCTTTCTACCATAGGCCGCCACACACTCCAAATGTCCCCTGGCAGATTCTACAAAAAGAGTGTTTCCAAACTGCTCAAACCAAAGAAAGGTTCAACTCTGTGAGATGAATGCATGCTTCACAAGGAAGTTTTTCAGAATTCTTCTGTCTAGCTTTGATGTGAAGATATTTCCTTTTCCACCTTAGTCCTCAAAGCCCTCAAAATGTCCACTTGCAGAATCTACAAAAAGAGATTTTCCAAACTGCTCAATCAAAAGAAAGGTTCAACTCTGTCAGATGAATGCACACATCACAAGGAAGTTTCTCATAATTCTTCTGTCTAGTTTTTATGTGAAGATAATTCCTTTTCCACCATAGGCCTCAAAGTGATCCAAATGTCCACTTGCAGATTCTACAAAAAGAGAGTTTCAAAACTGCTCAATCAAAAGAAATGTTTAACTCTATGAGATGAATGCACACATCACAAAGAAGTTTCTCAGGTTGCTTCGGCAGAGATTTATTTGAAGATACTTCCTTTTCTACCATGGGCGGCAAAGGGCTCCAAATGTCCACTTGCAGATTCTACAGAAAGAGTGTCTCCAAACTGCTCAATCAAAAGGAAGGTTCATCTGTGTGAGATGAACGTACGCATCAGAAAAAAGTTTCACAGAATTCTTCTCTCCAGTTTTCATGTGAAGATATTTGCTTTTCCACCAGAGGCCTCAAAGCCCTCCAAATGTCCACTTGAAGATTCTACAAAAAGAGTGTTTCCAAATTGCTCCATGAAAAGAAACTTTGAACTCTGTGAGATGAACGCACACATCACAAAGAAGTTTCTCAGAACTCTTCTGTCTAGTTTTTATGTGAAGATATTTCCTTTTCCACCATAGGCCTCAAAGCGCTCCAAATATCCACTTGCAGATTTTACAAAAGGAGAGTTTCAAAACTCCTCAATCCAAAGAAAGGTTTAACTCTCTTAGATGAAAGCACACATCACAAGGACGTTTGTCAGGTTGCTTCTGTCTAGATTTTATGTGAAGATATTTCCTTTTCTACCACAGGCCCCAAAGTGCTCCAAATATCCACTTGTAGATTCCACAAAAAGAATGTTTCCAAGCAGCTCAATCAAAAAAGAGGTTCACTTCTGTGAGATGAATGCACACATCACAGAGAAGTTGCTCAGAATTCTTCTGTCTAGTTTTTATGTGAAGATATTTCCTTTTCCACCAGAGGCCTTAATGCCCTCCAAATATCGACTTGCGGATTCTACAAAAAGAGAGTTTCAAAACTCCTCAATCAAAAGAAAGGTTTAACTCTCAGGGGCATGCACAAAACACAAAGTAGTTTCTCTGATTGCTTATGTCTAGATTTTATGTGAAGATAGTCCCTTTTCTACCATAGGTGGCAAAGCACACCAAATGTCCACTTGCAGATTCTCCAAATAGAGGGTTTACAAATTTCTCTATCAAAAGAAAGGTCCAACTCTGTGAGATGAACGCACACATCACCTAGAAGTTGCTCAGAATACTTGTGTTTAGTTTTTATGTGAAGATATTTCATTTTCCACCATAGGCCTCAAGGTGCTCGAAATGTCCAACTGCAAATTCTACAAAAAGATTATTTCATAACTGGTCCATCAAAAAAAAGGTTCAACTCTGGGAAATGAATGCACACATCACAAAGAAGTTTCTCTGAATGCTTCTATCCAGTTTTTATGTGAAGGTATTTCCTTTTACACCATAGGCCTCAAAGTGCTCCAAATGTCCACTTGCAGATTCTACAAAAAGAGAGTTTCAAAACTGCTCAATCAAAAGAAATGGTTAACTCTGTGAGATGAATGCACACAAGAAAAAGTCGTTTCTCAGATTGCTTCTGTCTGGATTTTTTGTGAAGATATTTCCTTTTCTACCATAGGCCACAAAACGCTCCAAATGTCCACTTGCAGGTTCTACAAAAAGAGTGTTTCCAAACTGCTCAATCAAAAGAAAGGTTCAACCCTGCCAGATGAATGCACACATCACAAAGAATTCTCTCAGAATTCTTCTGTCTAGTTTTTATGTGAAGATAATTCCTTTTCTTCCATAGGCCTAAAAGCATTCCAAATGTCCACTTGCAGATTCTGCAAAAAGAGATTTCCAAAACTGCTCAATCAAAAGGAAGGTTTAAGTCTGTGAGATGAAAGCACACATCACAAAAAGTTTCTCAGATTGCTTCTGTCTAGATTTTTTGTTCTATTTATTTATTTATTTATTTTTATTATTATACTTTAAGTTTTAGGGTACATGTGCACATTGTGCAGGTTAGTTACATATGTATACATGTGCCATGCTGGTGCGCTGCACCCACCAACTCGTCATCTAGCATTAGGTATGTCTCCCATAGCTATCCCTCCCCCATCTCCCCACCCCACCAGAGTCCCCAGAGTGTGTTGTTCTCCTTACTGTGTCCATGTGATCTTAT
Source organism: Homo sapiens (assembly GCF_000001405.40). Taxonomy (NCBI): domain Eukaryota; kingdom Metazoa; phylum Chordata; class Mammalia; order Primates; family Hominidae; genus Homo; species Homo sapiens. The sequence continues at coordinate 12,377,955 of NC_000022.11, read as the reverse complement.
TGTTCAATTCCCACCTATGAGTGAGAATATGCAGTGTTTAGTTTTTTGTTCTTCTGATAGTTTACTGAGAATGATGATTTCCAATTTCATCCATGTCCCTACAAAGGACATGAACTCATCATTTTTTATGGCTGCATAGTATTCCATGGTGTATATGTGCCACATTTTCTTAATCCAGTCTATCATTGTTGGACATTTGGGTTGGTTCCAAGACTTTGCTATTGTGAATAGTGCCACAATAAACATACGTGTGCATGTGTCTTTATAGCAGCATGATTTATAGTCCTTTGGGTATATACCCAGTAATGGGATGGCTGGGTCAAATGGTATTTCTAGTTCTAGATCCCTGAGGAATCGTCACACTGACGTCCACAATGGTTGAACTAGTTTACAGTCCCACCAACAGTGTAAAAGTGTTCCTATTTCTCCACATCCTCTCCAACACCTGTAGTTTCCTGACTTTTTAATGATTGCCATTCTAACTGGTGTGAGATGGTATCTCATTGTGGTTTTGATTTGCATTTCTCTGATGGCCAGTGATGATGAGCATTTTTCCATGTGTTTTTTGGTTGCATAAATGTCTTCTTTTGAGAAGTGTCTGTTCATGTCATTTGCCCACTTTTTGATGGGGTTGTTTGTTTTTTTCTTGTAAATTTGTTTAAGTTCATTGTAGATTCTGGATATTAGCCCTTTGTCAGATGAGTAGGTTGTGAATATTTTCTCCCATTTTGTAGGTTGCCTGTTCACTCTGATGGTAGTTTCTTTTGCTGTACAGAAGCTCTTTAGTTTAATTAGATCCCATTTGTCAATTTTGGCTTTTGTTACCATTGCTTTCGGTGTTTCAGACATGAAGACCTTGCCCATGTCTATGTCCTCAATGATATTGCCTAGGTTTTCTTCTAGGGTTTTTATGGTTTTAGGTCTAACGTTTAAGTCTTTAATCCATCTTGAATTGATTTTTGTATAAGGTGTAAGGAAGGGATCCAGTTTCAGCTTTCTACATATGGCTAGCCAGTTTTCCCAGCACCATCCACACCAAATCAACACAATATACATTTTTTTCAGCACCACACCACACCTATTCCAAAATTGACCACGTAGTTGGAAGTAAAGCTCTCCTCAGCAAATGTAAAAGAACAGAAATTATAACAAACTCTCTCTCAGACCACAGTGCAATCAAACTAGAACTCAGGATTAAGAATCTCACTCAAAGCTGCTCAACTACATGGAAACTGAACAACCTGCTCCTGAATGACTACTGGGTATATAACGAAATGAACACAGAAATAAAGATGTTCTTTGAAACCAATGAGAACAAAGACACGACATACCAGAATCTCTGGACGCATTCAAAGCAGTGTGTAGAGGGAAATTTATAGTACTAAATGCCGACAAGATAAAGCAGGAAAGAACCAAAATTGACACCCTAACATCACAATTAAAAGAACTAGAAAAGCAAGAGCAAACACGTTCAAAAGCTAGCAGAAGGCAAGAAATAACTAAAATCAGAGCGGAACTGAAGGAAATAGACACAAAAAACCCTTCAAAAAATTAATGAATCCAGGAGCTGGTTTTTTGAAAGGATCAACAAAGTAGATAGACCGCTAGCAAGACTAATAAAGAAAAAAAAAGAGAAGAATCAAATAGATGCAATAAAAAGTGATAAAGGGGATATCACCACCGATCCCACAGAAATACAAACTACCATCAGAGAATACTACAAACACCTCTATGCAAATAAACTAGAAAATCTAGAAGAAAAGGATAAATTCCTCGACACATACACTCTCCCAAAACTAAACCAGGAAGAAGTTGAATCTCTGAATAGACCAATAACAGGATCTGAAATTGTGTCAATAATCAATAGCTTACCAACCAAAAAGAGTCCAGGACCAGATGGATTCACAGCCGAATTCTACCAGAGGTACAAGGAGTAACTGGTACCATTCCTTCTGAAACTATTCCAATCAATAGAAAAAGAGGGAATCCTCCCTAACTCATTTTATGAGGCCAGCATCATTCTGATACCAAAGCCTGTCAGAGACACAACCAAAAAAAAAGAAATTTTAGACCAATACCCTTGATGAACATTGATGCAAAAATCCTCAATAAAATACTGGCAAACCGAATCCAGCAGCACATCAAAAAGCTTATCCACCATGATCAAGTGGGCTTCATCCCTGAGATGCAAGGCTGGTTCAATATACGCAAATCAATAAATGTAATCCAGCATATAAACAGAGCCAACGACAAAAACCACATGATTATCTCAATAGATGCAGAAAAGGCCTTTGACAAAATTCAACAACCCTTCATGCTAAAAACTCTCAATAAATTAGGTATTGATGGGACATATTTCAAAATAATAAGAGCTATCTATGACAAACCCACAGCCAATATCATACTGAATGGGCAAAAACTGGAAGCATTCCCTTTGAAAACAGGCACAAGACAGGGATGCCCTCTTTCACCACTCCTATTCAACATAGTGTTGGAAGTTCTGTCTAGATTTTATATGAAGTTATTTCCTTTTCCACCATAGAACCAAAAGCACTCCAAATGCCCCTTGCAGATCCTACAAAAACAGTGTTTCCAAACTGCTCAATCAAAAGAAAGGTTCAACTCTGTGAGCTGAATGCACACATCACAAAGAAGTTTCTCAGAATTCTTCTCTCTAGTTTCTATGTGAAGATATTTCCTTTTCCACTGTAGGCCTCAAGGCGCTCAAAAGGTCCACTTGCAGATCCTACAAAAACAGTATTTCAAAACTGGTCCATCAAAAGAAAGGTTCGACTCTTTGAGCTGAATGCACACATAACAAAGAAGTTTCTCAGAATGCTTCTATCTTGTTTTTATGTGAAGATATTTCCTTTTCCACCATAGGCCTCAAAGCGATCCAAATGTCCACTTGCAGATGCTACAAAAAGAGTGTTTGAGAGCTGCTCAATCAAAAGAAAGGTTCCACTCTGTGAGACGAATGCACACATCATAAAGAAGTTTGTCATAATGCTTCTGTCTAGTTATTATATGAAGATATTTCATTAACCACCATAGGCCTCAAAGTGCAGCAAATATCCGCTTGCAGATTCTACAAAAAAGAGTGTTTCAAAACTGCTTAATTGAAAGTAAGGTTCAACTCTTTGAGATGAATGCACACATCACAAAGGAATTTCTCAGAATCCTTCTGCCTAGTTCTTATGTGAAGATATTTCCTTTTCCACCATATGTCTCAAAGCTCACCAAATGTCCACTTGTAGATATTTCAAAAAGGGTGTTTCAAAACTGCTAAATCAAAAGTAAGATTCAACTCAGTGAGATGAATGCACATATCACAAAGAAGTTTGTCAGAATGCTTCTGTCTAGTTTTTATGTGAAGATTTTTCCTTTTCCACCATAGGCCTCAAAGCTCTCCAAATGTCCACTTGCAGATTCTACAAAAAGAGTGTTTCAAAGTTGTTCAATCAAAAGAAAAGTTCAACTCTGTGAGATGAATGCACACATCACAAAAAAAGTTTCTCAGAATGCATCTGTCTACTTTTAACCTGAAGATATTTACTTTTCCACCATAGGCCTCAAAGCGCTCCAAATGTCCATTTGCAGACACTACAAAAAGAGTGTTTCAAAACTGCTCAATGAAAAGTAAGGTTCAACTCTGTGAGATGAATGCACACAACACAAAGAAGTTTGTCAGAATGGTCTGTCTAGTTTTTATGTGAAGATATTTCCTTTTTCACCATAGGCCTCATAGTGCTCCAAATGTCCACTTGTGGATTCTACAAAAAGAGTGTTTCAAAGCTTCTCAATGAAAAGCAAGGTTTAACCCTGTGAGACGAATGCACACATCACAAAGAAGTTTCTCAGCAGGCTTCTGTCTAGTTTTTATGTGAAGACATTTCCTTTTCCTCAATAGGACTCAAAGTCCTCCAATTGCTCACTTGCAGATTCTACAAAAAGAGTGTTTCAAAATTGCTCAATGAAAAGTAAGGTTCAACTCTGTGAGATGAATGCACACATCACAAAGAAGTTTGTCAGAATGCTTCTGTCTGGTTTTTATGTGAAGATATTTCCTTTTCCACCATAGGCCTCAAAGCACTCCAAATGTCCACTTGCTGATTCTACAAAAAGAGTGTTTCAAAGATGATCAATCAAAAGAAAGGTTCAAATCAGTGTGAGATGAATGCACACATCACAAAGAAGTTTCTCAAAATGCTTCTGTCTAGTTATTATATGAAGATATTTGGTTATCCACTATAGGCCTCAAAGCGCTCCAAATGTCCACTTGCATATACTACAAAAAGAGTGTTTCAAAGCTGCTCAATCAAAACAAAGGTTCACCTCGGTGAGATGAATGCACATATCACAAAGAAGTTTGTCAGAACCCTTCTGTCTAGTTTTTATGTGAATATATTTCCTTTTTCACCATATGCCTGAAATTGTTCCAAATGTCCACTTGCAGGTTCTACAAAAAGAGTGTTTCCAAACTGCTCAATAAAAAGAAAGGCTCAACTCTGTGAGATGAACACACTCAGCACAGGAGTTTCTCAGAATTCTTTTTTCTCGTTTTTATGTGAAGATATTTCCTTCTCCACCATAGGTCTCAAAGTGCTCCAAATGTCCACTTGCAGATTGTACAACAAGAGTGTTTCAAAACTGTTCAATCAAAAGAAATGTTCAACTCTGTGAGATGAATGCACACATCACAAGGCAGTTTGTCAGAATGCTTCTGTCTAATTTTTATGTGAAGATATTTCCTTTTCCACCGTAGTCCTCAAAGCACTCCAATTGTACACTTGTAGAATCTACAAAAAGAGTGTTTTAAAAGTGCTCAATCAACAGAAATGTTCAACTCCGTGAGATGAAGGCACATATCACAAAGAAGTTTGTCAGAATGTTTCTGTCCAGTTCTGAAACACAGTTTTTGTGCTATCTGCAAGTGGACTTTTGGAGTGCTTTGAGGCCTATGGTGGATAAGGAAATATCTTCACATAAAAACTAGACAGAAGCATTCTGACAAATTTCTTTGAGATGTGTGCACTCATCTCACAGAGTAGAACATTTCTTTCGATTGAGTAATTTCGTAACTCTCTGTAGAATCTGCAACTGGATATTTGGAGCACTATGAGGCCTATGGTTGAAAAGGAAGTATCTTCACTTAAGATCTAGACAGAAACATTCTGACAAACTTCTTTGTGATGTGTGCATTCATCTCACAGAGTTGAACCATTCTTTTGATTGAGCAGTTTTGAAACACTCTCTTTGTAGAATCTGCAAATGGACATTTGGAGGGCTTTGTGACCTATGGTGGAAAAGGAAATATCTTCACATAAAAACTATTCTGAAACATTCTGACAAACTCCTTTGTGATGCATGCATTCATCTCATGGAGTTGAAACTTCCTTTGCATTGAGCAGTTTTGAAAAACCCTTTTTGTAGAATCTGCAGGTGTACACTTGGAGTGCTTTGAGGCCTATTGTCGAAAAGGTAAAAAAGTCACATAAAATCTAGACAGGATCATTCTTAGAAAATTCTTACTGATGTGATAATTTATCTCACAGAGTTTAATCTTTCTTTTGATTGAGTAGTTGTGAAACACTCTTTGTAGAATTTCCACGTGGACGTTTGGCCACTTAGAGGCCTATGTTGGAAAAGGAAATATCTTCACATTAAAACTAGACAGAAGCTTTCTGAGGTACTTCTTTGTGATGTGTGCATTCATCTCAGAGAGTTGAACCTTTCTTATGAATGAGCAGTTTGGAAAAACTCTTTTTGTAGAATCTGCAATTGGACATTTGGAGCGCTTTGCAGCCTATGTTGGAAAAGGAATCATCTCACATAAAAACTAGACAGAAGCAACCTGACAAACTTCTTTGTGATGTCTGCATTCATCTCAAATGGTTGAACCTTACTTTCGATTGAGCAGTTTTGAAACACTCATTTTGTAGAATCTGCAATTGGTCATTTGGAGTGCTTTGAGGCCTATGATGCAAAACAAAATATCTTCACATATTAACTAGACAGAAGCATTCTGAGAAACTTCTTTGTGATGTGTGCATTCCTCTCACAGAGCTGAATATTTCTTTTGATTGAGCAGCTTTGAAACACTCTTTTTGTAGAATCTGCAAGTGGACATTTGCTGCACTTTGCAAACTATGGTGGAAAAGGGAATATCTTCACATAAAAACTAGACTGAATCATTCTGAGAAAATACTTTGTGATGTGTGCATTCATCTCATAGAGTTGAACATTGCTTTTGATTGAGCAGTTTTGAAACACGCTTTTTGTACTATCTGGAAGTGGATATTTGGAGTGCTTTGAGGCCTATGGTGGAGAAGGAAATATCTTCGCATAAAAACTAGACAGAAACATTCTGACAAATTCCTTTGTGATGTGTGCATTTATCTCACAGAGTTGAACCTTTCATTTGATTGAGTAGTTTGGAAACCCTCTTTTTGTAGAATTGGCAAGTGGACATTTGAGTGCTTTGAGGCCTATGGTGGAAAAAGAAATATCTTCAATTAAAAATTAGACAGAAGCATTCTGAGCGATTTCTTTGTGATGTGTGCATTCATGTCACAGAGTTGAAATTTTCTTTTGATTGAACAGTTTTGAAACACTCTTTTTGTAAAATCTACAACTGGACATTTGGAGCACTTTGAGGACTATGATGGAAAAGGCAATATCTTCACATAAAAACTAGACATAAGCATAATGAGAAATTTCTTTGTGATGTGTGCATTCATCTCACAGAGTTGAACTTTTCTTTTGTTTGAGCAGCTTAAAAACACTCTTTTTGTAGAATCTGCAAGTGAACTTTTGGAGTGCTTTGAGGCCTATGGCGGAAAAGGAAATATCTTCACATAAAAACTATGGAGAAAGATTCGCCAAATTTCGTCATAATGGGTGCATTCATCTTATGGAGTTGAAAATTAGTTTTGAATGACCAATTTGAAACACTCTTTTTGTAGAATCTGCACATAGACATTTGGAGCACTTTGAGGCCTATGGTGGAAAATGAAATATCTTCACATAAAAACTAGAAAGAAGCATTATGAAAAAATTTTGTGATGTGTGCATTCATCTCACAGAGTTGGACCTTTCTTTTGATTGAGCAGTTTTGAAACACTCTTTTTGTAGAATCTGCAAGTGGACATGTGGAGCGCTTTGAGGCCAATGGTGGAAAAGGAATATCTTCACATAAAAACTACGCAGAAGCATTCTGTCAAACTTCTTTGGGACGGGTACATTCATCACACAGAGTTGAACCTTTCTTTTGATTGAGCAACTTTGAAACACCATTTTTGTAGAAACTGCGAGTGGACATTTTGTGCGCTTTGAGGCCTATGGTGGAAAAGGAAATATCTTAACATAAAAACTAGACAGAAGAATTCTGACAAACTTCTTTGTGATTTGTGCATTCATCTCACAGAGTTGAACATTACTTTACGTTGAGCAGTTTTGAAACCCTTTTTGCAGAATCTTCATGTGGTCATTTGGGGCGCTTTGAAGCATGTGGTGGAAAAGGAAATATCTTCACATAAAAACTACTCAGAAGCATTCTGACAAACTTATTTGTGATGTGTGCATTCATGTCACAGTTTTGAAACTTACTTTTCATTGAGCAGTTTTGAAACACTCTTTTTGTAGAATCTGCAAGCAGACATTTGGAGCGCCTTGATTCCTATGGTGGATAACGAAATATCTTCCTTTAACAACTAGACAGAAGCATGGTGAGAAATTTCTTTGTGATGTGTGCATTCATCTCACAGAGTTGAACCTTTCTTTAGATTGAGCAGCTTTGAAACACGCTTTTTGTAGGATCTGCAAGTGGTCATTTGGAACACTTTGAGGCCTATGGTGGAAAAGGAAATATCTTCAGATAAAAACTAGACAGAAGCATTCTACCAAACATCTTTGTGATGTGTGCATTCATCTCACAGAATTGAATCTTACTTTTGATTGAGGAGTTTTGAAAGACGCTTTTTGTACTATTTGCAAGTGGACATTTGGAGTGATTTGAGGCCTATGGTGGAAAAGGAAATATCTTCACATGAGAACTAGACAGAAGCATCTTGACAAATTTCTTCATCATGTGTGCATTCATCTCACAAAGTTGAACCTTACTTTTCATTGAGCAGTTTTGAAACACTGTTATTGTAGAATTTGCAAGTGGACATTTAGAGCGCTGTGAGACCAATGGTGGAAAAGGAAAAATCTTCACATAAAAACTAGACAGAAGCATTGTGACAAACTTCTTTGTGATGTGTGCATTCATCTCACAGAGTTGAAACTTTCTTTTGATTGACCAGCTTTCATACTCTCTTTTTGTAGAATCTGAATGTGGACATTTGGAGCGCTTTGAGGCCCATGGTGGAAATGGTAATATCTTCCCATAAAAACCAGACAGAAGCATTCTGACAAACTTCTTTTTGATGTGTGCATTCATCTCACAGAGTTGAACTTTCTTTTGATTGAGCAGCTTTGAAACACTCTTTTTGTAGAATCTGCAAGTGGACATTTGGAGTGCTTTTTGGTGTCTGGTGGAAAAAGAAGTATCTTTACGTAATAACTAGAGAGAAGCATTCTGACACACTTCTTTGAGATGTGTGCATTCATCTCACAGAGTTGAACCTTTCTTTTGATTGTGCAGTTTTGAAACAATGTTTTTGTAGAATCTACAAGTGGACATTTGGAGCGCTTTGAAGCCTATGGTGGAAAAGGAAATATCTTCACATAAAAACTAGAAAGAAGCATTCTGACAAACTTCTTTGTGACGTGTGCATTCATCTCACAGAGTTGAAACTTTCCTTTGATTGAGCAGCTTTAAGCACCTTTTTTGTAGAATCTGCGAGTGGACTTTTGAAGCGCTTTGAAGCCTATGGTGAACAAAGGAATATCTTCACATAAAAACTAGACACAAGAATTCTGACAAACTTCTTTGTGATTTCTTTATTCGTCTCAGAGAGGTGACCCTTACTTTTGATTGAGCAGATTTGAAACACTTTTTTTGTAGAATCTGGAAGTGGACATTTGGGGCCCTTTGAGGCCTATGGTGGAAACGGAAATATCTTCACATAAAAACCAGGCAGAAGCATTCTGATAAACTTCTTTGTGATCTGTGCATTCATCTCACCGAGTTGAACATTTCTTTTGATTCGGCAGCTTTGAAACACTCTTTTTTTTGAATCTGCAAGTGGACATTTGGAGCGCTTTGTATCCTATGGTGGAAAAGGATATATCATCACATAAAAACTAGATAGAAGCATTCTGACAAACTTGTCTGTGATGTGTGCATTCATCTCACAGAGTTGACCCTTACTTTTCATTGTGGAGTTTTGAAACACTGTTTTTGTAGAATCTGCAAGTGGACATTTGGAGGGCTTTGAGGCCTATAGTGTAAAAGGAAATATCTTCACAAAAAAACTAGACAGAAGCATTCTGACAATCTTATTTGTGATGTGTGCAATCATCTCACAGAGTTTAACCTTTCTTTCGATTGAGCAGCTTTGAATCACTCTTTTTGTAGAATCTGCAAGTGGATATTTTGAGTGCTTTGAGGCTTATGGTGGAAAAGGAAATACCTTCACATAAAAACTAGACAGAAGGATTCTGACAAAATTCTTTGTGATGTGTGCATTCATCAGAGAGTTGAACCTTACTTTTCATTGAGCAGTTTTGAAACACTCTTTTTGTAGAATCTGCAAGTGTACATTTGGGGCGCTTTAAGGCCTTTATTGGAAAAGGAAATATCTTCATATAAAAACTATACAGAAGCATTCGGACAAACTTTGTGACGTGCGTTTTCATCTCACAGAGTTAAAACTTTCTTTTGATTCAGCAGCTTTTAAACACCCTTTTTGTAGGATCTGCTAGGGGACATTTGGAGCGATTTGAGGCCTATGGTGGAAAAGGAATTATCTTCACATAACAACTAGACAAAAGAATTCTGAGAAACTTCTCTGTGATGTGTGTGTTCATGTCACAGAGTTGAACCTTTCTTTTGATTGAGCAGTTTGGAATCTCTTTTTGTAGAATCAGCAAGTGGACATTTGGAGGGCTTTGCAGCTATGGTAGAAAAGGATATATCGTCACATAAAATCTAGACAGAAGCAATCTGATAAACTTGTTTTTTTATTATTATTATTATACTTTAAGTTTTAGGGTACATGTGCACAAACTGCAGGTTACTTACATATGTATACAAGTGCCATGCTGGTGAGCTACACACACTAACTCGTCATCTAGCATTAGGTATATTTCCCAATGCTATCCCTCTCGCCTCCTCGCAACCCGCAACAGTCCCCTGAGTGTGATGTTCCCCTTCCTGTGTCCATGTGTTCTCATTGTTCAATTCCCACTTATGAGTGAGAATATGCTTTGTTTGTTTTTTTGTTTTTGCGATAGTTTACTAAGAATGATGATTTCCAGTTTCATCCATGTCCCAACAAAGGACATGAACTCATCATTTTTTATGGCTGCATAGTATTCCATGGTGTATATGTGCCACATTTTCTTAATCCAGTCTATCATTGTTGGACATTTGGGTTGGTTCCAAGTCTTTGCTATTGTGAATAGTGCCGCAATAAACATACGTGTGCATGTGTCTTTATAGCAGCATGATTTATAGTCCTTTGGGTATATACCCAGTAATGGGATGGCTGGGTCAAATGAGATTTCTAGTTCTAGATTCCTGAGGAATCGCCACACTGACTTTCACAATGGTTGAACTCGTTTACAGTCCCACCAACAGTGTAAAAGTGTTCCTATTTCTCCACATCTTCTCCAGCACCTGTTGTTTCCTGACTTTTTAATGATTGTCATTCTAACTGGTGTGAGATAACATCTCACTGTGGTTTTGATTTGCATTTCTCTGATGGCCAGTGATGATGAGCATTTTTTCATGTGTTTTTAGGATATCCAGGAATTGAACTTAGCTCTGCACCAAGCGGACCGAATAGACATCTATAGAACTCTCCACCCCAAATCAACAGAATATACATTTTTTTCAGGACCACACCACACCTATTCCAAAATTGACCACATAGTTGGAAGTAAAGCTCTCCACAGCAAATGTAAAAGAACAGAAATTATAACAAACTGTCTCTCAGACCACAGTACAATCAAACTAGAACTCAGGATTAAGAAACTCACTCAAAACCACTCAAATACATGGAAACTGAACAACCTGCTCCTGAATGACTACTGGATACGTAACAAAATGAAGGCAGAAATAAAGATGTTCTTTGAAACAATGAGAACAAAGAAACAATATACCAGAATCTCTGGGACACATTCAAAGCAGTGTGTGAGGGAAATTTATAGTACTAAATGCCCACAAGAGAAAGCAGGAAAGATCCAAAATTGACACCCCAACATCACAATTAAAAGAACTAGAAAAGCAAGAGCAAACACATTCAAAAGCTAGTAGAAGGCAAGAAATAACTAAAATCAGAGCAGAACTGAAGGAAATAGAGACACAAAAAACCCTTCAAAAAATTAATGAATCCAGGAGCTGGTTCTTTGAAAGGATCAACAAAATTGATAGACCACTAGCAAGACTTATAAAGAAAAAAAGAGAGAAAAATCAAATAGACGCAAGAAAAAATTATAAAGGGGATATCACCACCGATCCAACAGAAATGCAAACTACCATCAGAGATTAATACAAACACCTCTATGCAAATAAACTAGAAAATCTAGAAGAAATGGATAAATTCCTTGACACATACACTCTCCCTAGACTAAACCAGGAAGAAGTTGAATCTCTGAATAGACCAATAACAGGAGCTGAAATTGTGACAATAATCAATAGCTTACCAACCAAAAATAGCCCAGGACCAGATGGAATCACAGCCGAATTCTACCAGAGGTACAAGGAGGAACTGGTACCATTCCTTCTGAAACTATTCCAATGAATAGAAAAAGAAGGAATCCACCCTAACTCATTTTATGAGGCCAGCATCATCCTGATACCAAAGCCGGGCAGAGACGCAACAAATAAAGAGAATTTTAGACCAATATCCTTGATGAACATTGATGCAAAAATTCCTCAATAAAATACTGGCAAACCGAATCCAGCAGCACATCAAGAAGCTGATCCACCATGATCAAATGGGCTTCATCCCTGGGATGCAAGGCTGGTTCAATATAAGCAAATCAATAAACCTAATCCAGCATTTAAACAGAACCAAAGACAAAAAACATGATTATCTCAATAGATGCAGAAAAGGCCTTTGACAAAATTCAACAACGCTTTATGCTAAAAACTCTCAATAAATTAGGTATTGATGGGACGTATCTCAAAATAATAAGAGCTATGTATGACAAACCCACAGCCAATATCACACTGAATGGGCAAACACTGGAAGCATTCCCTTTGAAAACTGGCACAAGACAGGGATGCCCTCTCTCACCACTCCTATTCAACAGAGTGTTGGAAGTTCTGGCCAGGGCAATCAGGCAGGAGAAGGAAATAAAGGGTATTCAATTAGGAAAAGAGGAAGTCTAATTGTCCCTGTTTGCAGACGACATGATTGTATATCTAGAAAACCCCATTGTCTCAGGCCAAAATCTCCTTAAGCTGATAAACAATTTCAGCAATGTCTCAGGATACAAAATCAATGTACAAAAATCACAAGCATTCTTATACACCAATAACAGACAAACAGAGAGCAAAATCATGAGTGAACTCCCATTCACAATTGCTTCAAAGAGAATAAAATGCCTAGGAATCCACCTTACAAGGGACATGAAGGACCTCTTCAAGGAGAACTACAAACCACTGCTCAAGGAAATAAAAAAGGATACAAGGAAATGGAAGAACATTCCATGCTCATGGGTAGGAAGAATCAATATCGTGAAAATGGCCATACTGCCCAAGGTAATTTATAGATTCAATGTCATCCCCATCAAGCTACCAATGATTTTCTTCACAGAATTGGAAAAAACTACTTTAAAGTTCATATGGAACCAAAAAAGTGCCCGCATCACCAAGTCAATCCTAAGCCAAAAGAACAAAGCTGGAGGCATCACGCTACCTGACTTCAAACTATGCTACAAGGCTGCAGTAACCAAAACAGCACGGTACTGGTACCAAAACAGAGATATACATCAATGGAATAGAACAGAGCCCTCAGAAGTAATGCCGTATATCTACAACTATCTGATCTATGACAAACCTGAGAAAAACAGGCCATGGGGAAAGGATTCCCTATTTAATAAATGGTGCTGGGAAACTGGCTAGCCATATGAAGAAAGCTGAAACTGGATCCCTTCCTTATACCTTATACAAAAATCAATTCAAAATGGATTAAAGACTTAAACGTTAGGCCTCAAACCATAAAAACCCTAGAAGAAAACCCAGGCATTACCATTCAGGACATAGGCATGGGCAAGGACTTCATGTCTAAAACAACAAAAGCAATGGCAACAAAAGCCAAAATTGACAAATGGGATCTAATTAAACTAAAGAGCTTCTGCACAGCAAAAGAAACTACCATCAGAGTGAACAGGCAACCCACAAAATGGGAGAAAATTTTCGCAACCTACTCATCTGACAAAGGGCTAATATCCAGAATCTACAATGAACTCAAACAAATTTACAAGAAAAAAACAAAGAACCCTATCAAAAAGTGGGTGAAGGACATGAACAGACACTTCTCAAAAGAAGACATTTATGAGGAAATTCTTTGTGATGTGTACATTCATTTTACAGAGTTAAAACTTTATTTGATTGAGCAGTTTCGAAACTCACTTTTTGTAGCATCTGCAAGCGTACATTTGTAGCACTTTGCATCTTGTGGTAGAAAAGGAAATATCTTCACATAAAATCTACACAGAAGCAATCTGAGATACTTCTTTGTGATGTGTGCATTCATCTCACAGAGTTAAAACTTTCTCTTGATTGAGGAGTTTTGAAACCCTCTTTTTGTAGAATCTGCAAGTGGACATTTGGAGCGCTTTGTGGCCTATGGTGGAAAAGTTAATATTTTCACATAAATAATAGACAGAAGAATTCTGAGAAACATCTTTGTGATGTATGCGTTCATCTCACAGATTTGAAACTTTCTTTTGATTGAGCAGTTTGGAAACACTCTTTTTGTAGAATCTGCAATGGACAATTGGAACGCTTTGCATCTTATGGTAGAAAAGGAAATATCTTCACATAAAATCTAGAGAGAAGAAATCTGAGAAACTTATTTGTGATGTGTGCTTTCATCTCAGAGAGTTAAACTTTTCTTTTGATTTAGTAGTTTTGAAACACTCTTTTTGCAGAAACTGCAAGTGGAGATTTGGGGTGCTTTGGGGTCTATAGTGGAAAAGGAAATATCTTCACATAAAAACTTTACAGAAGAATTCTGACAAACTTCTTTGTGATGTGTGTGTTCATCTCACAGAGTTGAACGTTTCTTTTGATTCGGCAGTTTGGAAAAAAATCATTTGTAGAATCTGCAAGTGGACATTTGGAGCGCTTTGCAGCCAATGGTAGAAAAGGAAATATCTTCATAAAAAACCTAAACAGAGGCAATCTGAGAATCTTCTCTTTGATGTGCATTTTCATCTCACAGAGATAAACCTTTCTTTTGATTGAGCAGTTTTGAAACTCTCTTTTTGTAGAATCTGCAAGTGGACATTTGGAGCGCTTTGAGGCCTTTGGTGGAAAAGGAAATAACTTCACATAAAAACTAGACAGAAGAATTCTGAGAAACTTCTTTGTGATGTGTGCGTTCATCTCACAGAGTTGAACTTTCCTTTGATTGAGCAGTTTGGAAACACTCTTTTTATACCATCGGCAAATGGACATTTGGGGCACTTTTGGGCCTATGTTAGAAAAGGAAATATCTTCACATACAATCTAGACGGAAGCATTCTGAGAAATTTCTTTATGATGTGTGAGTTCATCTCACAAAGTTGAACATTTCTTTTGATTGAGCACTTTGGAAACACTCTTTTTGTAGAATCCACAAGTGGACAATTTGGAGTGCTTTGCGGCCTTTGGTAGAAAATGAAATATCTTCAACTAAAATCTACACAAAAGCAATCTGAGAAACTTCTTTGTGATGTGTGCATTCATCTCAAAGAGATAAACCTTTCTTTTGATTGAGCAGTTTTGAAACTCTCTTTTTGTATAATCTGCAAGTGGACATTTGGAGTGCTATGAGGCCTATGGTGGAAAAGGAAATATCTTCACATAAAAACTAGACAGAAGCATTCTGAGAAACTTCTTTGTGATGCATGCATTCATCGCACAGAGTTGAACCTTTCTTTTGGTTGAGCAGTTTGGAAACACTGATTTTGTAGAATCTGCAAGTGGACATTTGGAGCGCTTTGTGACCTATGGTAGAAAAGGAAATATCTTCACATAAAACCTAGACAGAAGCAATCTGCGAAACTTCTTTGTGAGATGTGAATTCATCTCATAAAGTTATACCATTCTTTTGATTGAGCAGTTTTGAAACTCTCTTATTGTATACTCTTCAAGTGGACATTTGGATCGCTTTGGATCCTATGGTGGAAAAGGAAATATCTTCACATAAAAACTAGGCAGAGGAATTCTGAGAAACATCTTTGTGATGGGTGTGTTCATCTCACAGAGTTGAACGTTTCCTTTGACTGAGCAGTTTGGAAACACTCCTTTGTAGAATCTGCAAGTGGACATATGGAGCGCTTTGCAGCCTATGGTAGAAACGGAAATATCTTCACATAAAACCTAGACAGAAGCAATTTGAGAAACTTATTTGTGATGTGTGCTTTCATCTCACAGAGTTAAACCTTTCTTTTGATTGAGCAGTTTTGAAAATCTCTTTTTGTGGAATCCGCAACGGACATTTGGAATGCTATGAGGCCTACAGTGGAAAAGGAAATTACTTTGTGAAATTTGTGTTCATCTCACAGAGCTGAAACTTACTTTTGATTGAGCAGTTTGGAAACACTGTTTTTGTAGAATCTGCAAGTGGATATTTGTAGCGCTTTGTGGCATGAGGTAGAAAAGGAAATATCTTCACCTAAAGTCTAAACAGAAGCAACCTTAGAAACTTATTTGCAATGTATGCATTCATCTCACAGAGCCAAATCTTTCTTTCGATTGAACAGTTTAGAAACTCTCTTTTTGTAGAATCTGCAAGTGGACATTTGGAGCGCTTTCAGGTCTATGGTGGAAAAGGATATATCGTCACATAAAAACTACACAGAAGAATTCTGAGAAACTTCTTTGTGATGTATGCATTCATCTCACAGAGTTGAACCTTTATTTTGATTGAGCAGTTTGGAAGCACTCTTTTTATAGATTCTGCAAGTGGACATTTGCAGCGTTTGGTGGCCTATGGTAGAAAAAGAAATATCTTCACATAAAATCTAGACAGAAGCAATCTGAGAAACTTTGTTGTGATGTGTGCATTCATCTCACAGAGTTAACACTTTCTTTTGATTGTGTAGTTTTGAAACTCTCTTTTTGTAGAATCTACAAGTGGACATTTGGAGCGTTTTGAGGCCTATGGTAGAAAAAGAAATATCTTCACGTGAAAACTAGACAGAATAATTCTGAGAAACTTTTCGTGATGTGAGCATTCATCTCACAGAGTTAAACCTTTCCTTTGATTGAACAGTTTTGAAAATCTCTAATTGTAGAATCTACAAGAGAACATTTGGATCGCTTTGTGGCTTTGTTAGGAAAGGAAGAATCTTCACATAAAATCTAGACAGAAGCAATCTGAGAAACTTCTTTGTGATGTGTGCATTCATCTCACAGAGTTAAACATTTCTTTTTCTTGAGCAGTTTTGAAACTCTGTTTTTGCAGAATCTGCAAGTGGACATTTGGAGTGCTTTAAGGCCTATGGTGAAAAAAGGAAATATCTTCACATAAAACTAGATAGAAAAATTCTGAGAAACATCTTTGTGATGCGTGCATTCATAACACAGAAATGAACCTTTCTTTTGATTGAGCAGTTTAAAAACACTCTTTATTTAGAATCTGCACGTGGACATTTGGAGCGTTTTGTGGCCTATGGTAGAAAAGGAAATATCTTCATATAAAATCTAGAAACAAGCAATCTGGGAAACTCCTTTGTGATGTGTGCATTCATCTCACAGGGTTAAAACTTTCTTTTGATTGAGCGGTTTTGAAACTCTTTTTTTGTAGAATCTGCAAGTGGACTTTGGAGTGCTTTGAGGCATAAGTTGGAAAAGGAAATATCTTCACATAAAAACTAGACAGAGGAATTCTCAGAAACTTCTTTGTGTTGTGTGCGTTCATCTCACAGAGTTGAAACTTTCTTTTCATTGTGCCATTTGGAAACACTCTTTTTGCAGAATGTGGAAGTGGACATTTAGAGGGCTTTGTGGCCTATGGTAGAAAAGGAAATATCTTCACATAAAATCTAGACAGAAGCAATCTGAGAAACTTCTTTGTGATGAGAGCATTCATCTTACAGAGTTAAACCTTTCTTTTGATTGAGCAGTTTTTAAACTCTCTTTTTGTAGAATCTGCATGTGGACATTTGGAGTGCTTTGAGGCCTATGGTGGAAAAGGAAATATCTTCACATAAAAACTGGATAGAAGCATTCTGAGAAACTTATTTTTGATGTGTGCATTCATCTGTCATAGTTTAACCTTTATTTTGAAGGACCAGTTTTGAAACACTCTTTTTGAAGAATCTACAAGAGGACATTTTGAGTGCCTTAAGGCCTATGGTGGAGAAGGAAATATCTTCAAATAAATACCATATAGAAGAATTCTGGGAAACTTCTTTGTGATGTGAGCATTCATCTCACCGAGGTGAACCTTTCTTTTCATTGAGCAGTTTGGAAATACTCTTTTTGTAGAAGCTGCAAGTGGACATTTG
This sequence comes from Homo sapiens, assembly GCF_000001405.40. NCBI lineage: Eukaryota > Metazoa > Chordata > Mammalia > Primates > Hominidae > Homo > Homo sapiens. The sequence goes on along the minus strand of NC_000022.11, from coordinate 12,360,117 downwards.
TAGTGCTTTGCGTCCTGTGGTAGAAAAGGAAATACCTTCACATAAAATCTAGAGAGAAGCAATCTGAGAAACCTGTTTGTGATGTGTGCACTCATCTCACAGAGTTCAACTTTTATTTTGATTGAGCAGTTTTGAAACACTCTTTTTGTAGAATCTGCAAGTGGACATTTGGATCACTTTGTGGCCTATGTTAGAAAAGGAATATCTTTGCATAAAATCTAGACACAAGCCATGTGAGAAACTTCTTTGTGACGTGTGCATTCATCTCACAGGGTTAAACCTATCTTTTAATTGAGCAGTTTTGAAACTCTCTTTGTGTAGAATCTGCAAGTAGACATTTGGAGGGCTCTGAGGCCTATAGTGGAAACAGAAATATCTTCACATAAAAACTAGACAGAAGAATTGTGAGAAACTTATTTGTGATGTGTGCGTTAATCTCACAGATTTGAACATTTCTTTTGATTGAGCAGTTAGGCAATGCTCTTATTGTAGAATCTGCAAGTGGACATTTGGAGTGCTCTATGGCCTATGGTAGAAAAGGAAATATCTTCACATAAAATCTAGAAAGAAGTAATCTGAAAAAGTTTTTTGTGATGTGTGCATTCATCGCACAGAGATAAACCTGTCTTTTCATTCAGCAGTTTCAGAACTCTCTTTTTGAAGAATCTGCAAGTGTACATTTGGAGCGCTTTGAGGCCTATGGTGGAAGAGGAAATATGTTCACATTAAAACTAGACAGAAGAATTCTGAGAAACTTCTTTATGATGTGTGCATTCGTCTCACTGAGTTGAACCAGTGAGTTCAACTCACTGGTTTGGAAACAATCATTTGTGGAATCTGCAAGTGGACATTTGGAGCGTTTTGCATCCTGTGGTTGAAAAGGAATTATCTTCACATAAATTTTAGACAGAAGCAATCTGAGAAACTTCTTTGTGATGTGTGTGTCCATCTCACAGAGTTGAACCTTTGTTTTGATTGAGCAGTTTGGAAACACTCTTTTTTTAGAATCAGCAAGTGGACGTTTGGAGCGCTTTGCAGCCTATGTTAGAGAAGGAAATATCTTCACATAAAATCTAGAGAGAAACAATCTGAGAAAGTTCTTTGTGATGTCTGCATTTAGCTCAGTGTTGAACCTATCTTTTGATAGAGCAGTTTTTAAACTCTCCTTTTGTAGAATCTGCAATTGCACATTTTTGCGCTTTGCAGCATATGTTAGAAAAGGCAGTCTCTTCACATAAAATCTAGACAGAAGAAATCTGAGAAACTTCTTAGTGATATATGCTTTCATCACACTGAGTTGACACTCTCTTTTGATTGAGCAGTTTGGAAACACTTTTTTGTAGAATCTACAAGTGGACATTTTGAGCGCTTTGTGGCCTATGGTAGAAAAGGAAATATCTTCAACTAACATCTACACAGAAGCAAAGTGAGAAACTTCTTTCTGATGTGTGCATTCATCTCACAGAGTTAAACCTTTCTTTTGATTGAGCATTTATGAAATTCTCTTTTTGTAAATTCTACAAGTGGACATTTGGAGCGCTTTGAGGACTATGATGGAAAAGGAAATAGCTTCACATAAAAACTAGACAGAAGAATTCTGAGAAACTTCTTTGTGATATGTGCGTTCATCACACAGAGTTGAACCTTTCTTTGAATTGAGCAGTTTGGAAACACTCTTTTTGTAGAACCTGCAAGTGGACATTTGGAGCGCTTTGAAGCCTGTGGTGGAAAAGCAAAAATCTTCACATGAAAACTGGATAGAAGAATTTTAAGAAACTTCTTTGTGATGCGTGGTTTAATCTCACAGAGTTGAACATTTCTTTTGATGGAGCAGTTTGGAAACACTCTTTTTGTAGAATCTGCAAGCAGACATTTGGAGTGCTTTTGGGCCTATTTTAGAAAGGGGAATATCTTCATATAAAAACTAGACAGAAGAATTCTGAGAAACTTTTTTGTGATGTGTGCATTCATCTCACAGAGTTGAACCTTTCCTTGAATTGAGCAGTTTTGACACTCTTTTTGTAGAACCTACAAGTGGACATTCGGAGCTCTTTGCGGCCTCTGTTAGAAAAGGAAATATCTTCACATAAAATCTACACAGTAGCAATCTCAGAAACTTCCTTGTGATGTGTGCATTCATCTCACAGGGTTAAACTTTTCTTTTGATGGAGCAGTTTTGAAACTTCCTTTTTGTAGGATCTGCAAGTGGACATTTGGAGCACTTTGAGGCCTATGGTGGAAAGAAAATACCTTCACATAAAAACTAGACAGAAGAATTCTGAGAAACTTCTTTGTGGTGTGTGCATTCATCTCACATACTTGAAACTTTCCTTTGGTTGAGCAGTTTGGAAACCCTCTTTTTGTTGAATCTGCAAGTGGACCTTTGGAGCGCTTTGATGCCTATTGTGGAAAAGGAAATATCTTCACATAAAAATGATACAGAAGAATTCTGAGACATTTCTTTGTGATGTGTGCGTTGATCTCACAGAGTTGAACCTTTCTTTTGATTCAGCAGTTTGGAAACACTCTTTTTCTAGAATCTGCAAGTGGACATTTGGAGCACTTTGGGGCCTGTTGTACTAAAGGAAATATCTTCACATAAAATCTAGACAGAAGCAATCTGAAAAACTTCTTTCTGATGTGTGCGATCATCTCACAGGGTTGAAACTTTCTTTTGATTAAGCAGTTTGGAAACACTCTTTTTGTAGCATCTGCAAGTGGACATTTGGAGCACTTTGAGGCCTGTGGAGGAAAAGCAAAAATCTTCACATAAAAACTAGTCAGAAGAATTTTGAGAAACTTCTTTGTGATGCGTGCGTTAATCTCACAGAGTTGAACATTTCTTTTGATGGAGCAGTTTGGAAACACTCTTTATGTAGAACCTGCAAGCAGACATTTGGAGCGCTTTTGGACCTATTTTAGAAGGGAATATCTTCACATAAAAACTAGACAGAAAAATTCTGAGAAACTTCTTTGTGATGTGTGCATTCATCTCACAGAGTTGAACCTTTCTTTGAATTGAGCAGTTTTGAAACTCTCGTTTTGTAGAACCTGCAAGTGGACATTTGGAGCGCTTTGCGGTCTCTGTGAGAAAAGGAAATATCTTAACATAAAATCTACACAGTAGCAATCTGAGAAACTTCGTTGTGATGTGTGCATTCATCTCACACAGTTAAAACTTTCCTCTGATTGAGCAGTTTTGAAACACTCTTTTTGTAGAATCTGCAAGTGGACATTTGGATCGCTTTGCCACCTACTTTAGAAAACTAAGTATCTTTACATAAAATCTAGACAGAAGCCATAAGAGAAACCTCTTTTTGTTGTGTGCATTCATCTCACAGAGTTAAAGCCTTATTTTGACTGAGCAGTTTTGAAACTCTCTTTTTGTAGAATCTGCAAGTGGACATTTGGAGTGCTTTGAGGCCTATGCTGGAAAACGAAATATCTTCACATAAAAACTAGACAGAAGAATTGTGAGAAACTTACTTGTGACTTGTGCGTTAATCTCACAGATTTTAACATTTCTTTTGATTGAGTAGTTAGGCAATGCTCTTATTGTAGAATCTGCAAGTGGACATTTGGAGCGCTTTGTGGCCTATGGTAGAAAAGGAAATATCTTTACATAAAATCTAGAAAGAAGCACACTGTAATAGTTTTTGTGATGTGTGCAGTCATCTCACAGATATAAACCATTCTTTTGATTGAGCAGTTTTGGAACTCTCTTTTTGCAGAATCTGCAAGTGGACATTTGGAGCGCTTTGAGGCCTATGGTGGAAGAGGAAATATGTTCACATAAAAACTAGACAGAAGAATACTGACAAACTTCTTTGTTATTTGTGCATTCATCTCACTGAGTTGAGCCTTTCTTTTGATTGAGCAGTTTGGAAACAATCTTTTTGTAGACTCTGCAAGTGGACATTTGGAGCACATTGCATCCTGTGGTTGACAAGGAAATATTTTCACATAAATTGTAGACAGAAGCAATCTGAGAAACTTCTTTGTGATGTGTGCGTTCATCTCACAGAGTTGAACCTTTATTTTGATAGAGCAGTTTGGAAACACTCTTTTTGTAGAATCTGCAAGTGAACGTTTAGAGCGCTTTGCGTCCTCTGTTAGAAAAGGAAATATCTCACATAAAATCTAGACAGAAGCAATCTGAGAAACTTCCTTATGCTCTGTGCATTCATCTCACAGAGTTAAAACTTTCCTTTGATTGAGCAGTTTTGAAACTCTCTTTTTGCAGAAACTGCAAGTAGAAATTTGGAGCACTTTGAGGCCTATGGTGGAAAAAGAAATATCTTCAAATAAAAACTAGACAGAAGAATTCTGAGAAACTTCTTGGTGATGTGTACGTTCAACTCACAGAGTTGAACCATTCTCTTGATTGAGCAGTTTGGAAACACTCTTTTTGTAGAATCTGCAAGTGAACATTTGGAGTGCTTTGCAGCCTATGGTAGAAAAGGAAATATCTTCACATAAAATCTAGATGGAAGCAGTCTGAGAAACTTCTTCATGATGGGTTAATTCACCTCACAGAGTTAAAACTTTCTTTAGATTGAGCAGTTTTGAAACTCTCTTTTTGTAGAATCTACAAGTGGACATTTAGAGAGCTTTGAGGCCTATGGTGGAAAAGGAAATACCTTCACATAGAAACTAGACAGAAGAATTCTGAGAAACTTCTTTGTGATGTGTGCGTTCATCTCACAGAGTTGAACCTTTCTTTGGATTGAGTAGTTTGGAAACACTCTTTTTGTAGAATCTGCAGGTGGACTTTTGGAATGCTTTATGGCCTACGGTAGAAAAGGAAATATCTTCACATAAAATCTAGGCAGAAGCAATCTGAGAAACTTCTTTGTGATGTGTGCATTCATCTCACAGAGTTAAAGCTGTCTTTTGATTGAGCAGTTTTGAAACTCTCTTATTGTACTATCTGCAAGTGGACATTTGGAGAGCTTTGAAGCTTATGGTGGAAAAGGAAATATCTTCATATAAAAATTAGATAGAAGCATTCTGAGAAACTTCTTTGTGATGTGTGCATTCATGTCCCAGAGATGAACCTTTCTTTTGAAGGACCAGTTTCGAAGTACTCTTTTTGTAGAATCTGCAAGTGGACACCTCGAGCTCCTTGAGGCCTATATTGGAAAAGGAAATATCATCACATAAAAACTAGACAGAAGAATTCTGAGAAACTTCTTTTTGTTATGGGCGTTCATATCTCTGAGTTGAACTTTTCTTATGATTGAACGGTTTGGAACACTCTTTCTGTAGAATCTGCAAGTGGACATTTGGAGCGCCTTGCAACTTAAGGTGGAAAAGGAAATATCTTCACATAAAATCCAGACAGAAGCAATCTGAGAAACTTCTTTATGATATGTGTATTCATCTCAAAGGGTTAACCCTTTCTTTTGATTGAGCAGTTTTGATACTCTCTTTTTGTAGAATCTGCAATTGGACATTTCTATCGCTTAGAGGCCTATGGTGGAACAGGGTATATCTTCACATAAAAACTAGACAGAAGAATTCTGAGAAACATCTTTGTGATGTGGGTATTCATCTCACAGAGTTGAACCTTTCTTTTGATTGAGCAGTTTGGAAACACACTTTTTTTGGACTCTGCAAGTGGACATTTGGAGCGCTTTGCGGCCTATGGTAAAAAAGGATATATCTTCACATAAAATCTAGACAGACGTAATTTGAGAAATTTCTTTGTGATGTGCACATTCATCTCGCAGAGTCCAACATTTCTTTTGATTTAGCAGTTTAGAAACTCTCTTTTTGTAGAATCTGCAGTTGGACATTTTGAGCCCTTTGAGGTCAGTGGTGGAAATGGGAATATCTTCCCATAAAAACTAGACAGAAGAATTCTGAGAAACTTCTTTGTGATGTATGCGTTCATCTCACAGAGCTGAAACTTTCCTTGGATTGAGCAGTTTGGAAACCCTTCGTTTGTACAATCAGCGTGTGGACACTTGGGTCGCTTTGCAGCCTATGTTAGAAAAGGAAATATCTTCACATAAAATCTAGACAGAAGCAATCTGAGAAACTTCTTTGTGATGTGTTCATTCATCTCACAGAATTAAACTTTTCTTTTGATGGAGCAGTTTTGAAACTTTCTTTTTGTAGGATCTACTAGTGGACATTTGGAGCACTTTGAGGCCTATGGTGGAACAGGAAATACCTTCACATAAAAACTAGACAGAAGAATTCTGAGAAACTTCCTTGTGGTGTGTGCATTCATCTCACATACTTGAAACTTTCCTTTGGTTGAGCAGTTTGGAAGCCCTCTTTTTGTTGAATCTGCAAGTGGACTTTTGGAGGGCTTTGCAGCCTATGGCAGAAAAGGAAATATCTTCACATAAAATCTAGACAGAAGCAATATGAGAAACTACTTTTTGATGTGTGTTTTCACCTCACAGATTTAAAGCTTTCTTTTGATTGAGCAGTTTTGAAACTCTGTTTTTGTAGAATCTGAAATTGGACATTTGGAGCATTTTGCTGCCTGTGGTAGAAAGGGAAATATCTTCACGTAGAATCTGACAGAAGCAATCTGAGAAGCTTCTTAGTGTTGTGTGCATTCATCTCACAGACTTAAACCTTTCTTTTGATTGAGCAGTTTTGAAATTCTATTTTTGTAGAATCTGCAAGTGGACATTTGGAGCACTTTGATGCCTATTGTGGAAAAGGAAATATCTTCACATAAAAACTATACAGAAGAATTCTGAGACATTTCTTTGTGATGTGTGCATTGATCTCACAGAGTTGAACCTTTCTTTTGATTCAGCAGTTTGGAAACACTCTTTTTCTAGAATCTGCAAGTGGACATTTGGAGCACTTTGGGGCCTGTTGTACTAAAGGAAATATCTTCACATAAAATCTAGACAGAAGCAATCTGAGAAACTTCTTTCTGATGTGTGCAATCATCTCACAGGGTTGAAACTTTCTTTTGATTGAGCAGTTTGGAAACACTCTTTTTGTAACATCTGAAAGTGGACATTTGGAGCGCTTTGAGGCCTGTGGTGGAAAAGCAAAAATATTCACATAAAAACTAGAAAGAATAATTTTGAGAAACTTCTTTGTAATGCGTGCATTAACCTCACAGAGTTGAACATTTCTTTTGATGTAGCAGTTTGGAAACTGCTCTTTTTGTAGAATCTGCAAGCAGACATTTGGAGTGCTTTTGGGCCTATTTTAGAAAAGGGAATATTTTCACACAAAAACTAGACAGAAGAATTCTGAGAAACTTCTTTGTGATGTGTGCGTTCATCTCACAGAATTGAAACTTTCTTTTGATTGAGCAGTTTGGAAACAGACTTTTTGTAGAATCTGTAAGGGGACATTTTGAGCGCTTTGAGGCCTATGGTGGAAAAGGAAATATCTTCAAATAAAAACTAGACAGAGGAGTTCTGAGAAACATCTTTGTGATATGTGCCTTCATCTCACAGAGTTAAAGCTTTCTTTTCATTGAGCAATTTGGAAACACTCTTTTTGTAGAATCTGAAAGTGGACATTTGGAGCACTTTGAGGCCTGTAATGGAAAATGAAATATCCTAGACAGAGTTTTGTGGCCTTCAGTAGAAACGGAAATATCTTCACATAAAATCTAGACAGAAGAAATCTGAGAAACTTCTTAGTGATGTGTGCATTCATCCCACAGATTTAAACTTTTCTTTTGATGGAGCAGTTTTGAAAATCTATTTTTGTAATATCTGCAAGTGGACATTTTGAGTGATTTGAGGCCTATGGTGGAAAAGGAAATATCTTCACATAAAAGGTAGACAGAAGAATTCCGAGATACTTCTTTGTGATGTGTGAGTTCGTCTCACAGGATTGAAACTTTCTTTTCATTCAACAGTTTGGAAACACTCTTTTTGTAGAATCTGCAGGTGGATATTTGGAGTGCTTTGTGGCCTATGACAGAAAAGGAAATATCTTCACGTAAAAACTATATAGACACATTCTGGGAAACTTCTTTGTGATGTGTATGTTCATCTCACAGAGTTGAACCTTTCTTTGGATTGAGCATTTTGGAAACACTCTTTTTGTAGAATCTGCAAGAAGCAATCTGTGAAACTTCTTTGTGATTTGTGTATTGATCTCACAGAGTTAACCCTTTCTTTTGATTGAGCAGTTTTTAAACTCTCTTTTTGTCGAATCTGCATTTGTACATTTGGAAGGCTTTGAGACCTATGGTGAAAAAGGAATTATCTTCTCATAAAATCTAGAAAGACAAATTCTGAGAAACTACTTTGTGATGTGTGCGTTCCTCTCACAGAGTTGAAACTTTCTTTTGTTTGGGCCGTTTGGAAACACTCTTTTTGTTGAATCTGCAAGTGGACATTTGGAGCACTTTGCGGCCTGTGGCAGAAAAGGAAATATCTTCACATACAATCTAGACAGAAGCAATCTGACATAATTCTTATTGATGTGAGAATTCATCTGACAGAGTTAAACTTTTTTTTGATGAAGCAGTTTTGAAACTATTTTTGTACGATCTGCAAGTGGACATTTGGAACACTTTGAGGTCTATGGTGGAAAAGGAAATATATTCAAATAACAAATTTACAAGAAAACAACAAACAACCCCATCTAAAAGTTGGTGAAGGACATGAACAGACACTTCTCAAAAGAAGACATTTATGCAGCCAAAAAACACATGAAAAAATGCTCATCATCACTGGCCATCAGAGAAATGCAAATCAAAACCACAATGAGATACCATCTCACACCAGTTAGAATGGCAATCATTAAAAAGTCAGGAAACAACAGGTGCTGGAGAGGATGTGGAGAAATAGGAACACTTTTACACTGTTGGTGGGAATGTAAACTAGTTCAACCATTGTGGAAATCAGTGTGACGATTCCTCAGGGATCTAGAACTGGAAATACCATTTGACCCAGCCATCCCCTTACTGGGTATAGGCCCAAAGGACTACAAATCATGCTGCTACAAAGACACATGCACACGTATGTTTATTGTGGCACTATTCACAATAGCAAAGACTTTGAACCAACCCAAATGTCCAACAATGATAGACTGGATTAAGAAAATGTGGCACGTATACACCATGGAATACTATGCAGCCATAAAAAATGATGAGTTCATGTCCTTTGTTGGGACATGGATGAAATTGAAAATCATCATTCTCAGTAAACTATCACAAGAACAAAAAAACAAACAAAGCATATTCTCACTCATAAGTGGGAATTGAACAATGAGAACACATGGACACAGGAAGGGGAACATCACACTCTGGCGACTGTTGTGTGGTGGGGGAGGGGAAAGGATAGCATTGGGAGATATACCTAATGCTAGATGACGAGTTAGTGGGTGCAGCACATCAGCATGGCACATGTATACATATGTAACTAACCTGAACAATGTGCACATGTATCCTAAAACTTAAAGGATAATAATAAAAAAATAAAAATAATAAAAAAATACTAGACAGAAAAATTCTGAGAAACTTCTTTGTGATGTGTGCTTTAATCTCACAGAGTTGAACCTTCCTTTTGATTGAGCAATTTTTAAACGCTCTTTTTGTAGTATCTGCAAGTGGACATTTGTAGCACTTTGCGGCCTATGGTAAAAAAGGAAATACCTTCACATAAAATCTATACAGAAGTGATCTGAGAAACTTCTTTGTGATGTGTGCGTTCATATCACAGAGTTGAGCTTTTCTTTTGATTGAGCGCTTTGGAAACTCTCTTTTTGTAGAATCTGCAAATGGACATTTGGAGCGCTTTCTGGCCTATGGTAGAAAAGGAAATATCTTCACATGAAATCTAGACAGAAGCAATCTGAGAAACTTCTTTAGGATGTGTGCCTCCATCTCACAGAGTTAAATATTTCTTTTGATAGAGCAGTTCTGAAACTCTCTTTTTGCAGAATCTGCAAGTGGATATTTGGAGCAATTTGAGGCCTATGGTGGAAAAGGTAATATCTTCAAATAAAAACTACACAGAAGAATTCTGACAAACTACTCTGTGATGTGTGCATTCATCTCACATAGTTGAACTTTCTTTCAATTGAGCAAGTTGGAAACATTCTTTTTGTAGCTCCATGTGGATATTTGCAGAGGTTTGAGGCCTATGGCGGAAAAGGAAATATCTTCACATAAAAACTAGACAGAGGAATTCTGAGAAACTTCTTTGTGTTGTGTGTGTTCATCTCACAGAGTTGAAACTTTCTTTTGATTGAGCAGTTTGGAAACACTCTTTTTGTAGAATCTGCAAGTGGATATTTGGAGCGCTTTGCGGCCTATTGTAGAAAAGGAAATACCTTCACATAAAATCCAGACAGAAGCAATCTGAGAAACTTCTTTGTGGTGTGTGCGTTCATCTCAGAGTTAACACTCTCTTTTGATTGTGCAGTTTTGAAACTCTCTTTTTGTAGAATCTGCAAGTGGACATTTGGAGCACTTTGAGGCCTTTGGTGGAAAAGGACATATTTTCACATAAAAACTACACAGAATAATTCTGAGAAACTTTTTGTGATGTGTTATACCTTTCTCACAAAGTTGAACCTTTCATTTGATTCAGCAGTTTGGAAACACTCTTTTTGTAGAATCTACAAATGGACATTTGGATCACTTTGCGGTCTATTGTAGAAAAGGAAATATCTTCACTTAAAATCTAGACAAAAGCAATCTCAGAAACTTCTTTGTGATGTGTGCATTCATCTCAAGAAGTTAAACCTTTATTTTCATTGAGTAGTTTTGAAACTCTCTTTTGTAGAATCTGCAAGTGGACATTTGGAGTGCTTTGAGGCCTATAGTGCAAAAGGAAATATCTTCACATAAACACTAGATAGAAGCATTCTGAGAAACTTCTTTGTGATGTGTGCATTCATCTCTCAGAGTTGAAGCTTTCTTTTGGTGGAACAGTTTTGAAATACTCTTTTTGTAGGATCTGCAAGTGGACATTTTGAGAGCCTTCAGGCCTAAGGTGGAAAAGGAAGTATCTTCATATAAAAACTAGACAGAAGAATTCTGACAAACTTCTTTGTGATGAGTGCGTTCATCTCACAGAGTTGAACATTTCTTTTGATTAAGCAGTTTGGAAACACTCTTTTTGTAGAATCTGCAAGTGGACATTTGGAAAGCTTTGTGGCCTATGGTAGAAAAGGAAATATCATCACATAAAATCTAGACAGAAGCAATCTGAAAGACTTATTTGTTATGTGTGCATTCATCTCACACAGTTAAACTTTTTTTTGATTGAGCAGTTTTGAAACTCTCTTTTTGTAGAATCTGCAAGTGGACATTTGGAGCGATTTGGGGCCTGTGGTGGAAAAGAAATTATCTTCACATAAAAACAAGGCAGAAGAATTCTGAGAAACTTCTTTGTGATGTGTGCATTCATCTCCCAGATTTGAACCATTCTTTTGACAGACCAGTTAGGAAATACACTTTTTGTAGGATATGCAAGCGTACATTTTTAGCGCTTTAAGGCCTATGGTGGAAAAGGAAATATCTTCATATAAAAACCAGTCAGAAGAATTCTGAGACACTTATTTGTGATGCGTGCATTCATCTCACAGGGTTGAACCTATCTTATGATTGAGCAGTATTGAAACACTCTCTTTCTAGAATCTGCAAGTGGATATTTGGAGTGCTTTGAGACCTACTGTGGAAAAGGAGATATCTTCACATAAAAACTACACAGAAACATTCTGAGAAACTTCTTTGTGATGTGTGGATTAATCTCACCAGTGTTCAACCTTTATTTTGATTGAGCAGTTTTGAAACACTGTTTTTGTAGAATCTGTAAGTGGATATATGGAGCCCTTGGAGTCCTACGGTGGAAAAGCATATATCTTCACATAAAAGCTGCACAGAAACATATTGAGAAATTTCTTTGTGATGTGTACATTCATCTCACAGAGTTGAACTTTTCTTTTTATTGAGCAGTTTTGAAACACTCTTTTTGTAGTATCTGCAAGTGGATATTTGGAGCACTTTGAGGCCTATTGTGGAAAAGGAAAGATGTTCACATAAAAACTACAGAGAAGCATTCTGAGACACATCTTTGTGATGTTTGCATTCAACTCACAGAGTTGTACCTATCTTTTGATTAAGCAGTTTTGCATCTCTCTTTTTGTGGAATCTGCAAGTGGATAATTGGAGCCCTATGCCACCTACGGAGGAAAAGGAGATATCTTCAAATAAAAACTACACAGAGGCATTCTGAGAAACTTCTTTGTGATGTATGTTTTCATCTCACAGAGTTGTACCTATCTTATGATTAAGCTGTTTTGAAACACTCTCTTTGTAGAATCTGCAAGTGGATACTTGGAGTGCTTTGAGGCCTACTATGGCAAAGAAATATCTTCACATAAAAACTACACAGAAGCATTCTGAGAAACTTCTTTGTGATGTGTGCATTCATCTCACAAAATTCCAACTTTCTTTTGATTTGGCAGTTTTCAAACACTGTTCTTGTAGAATCTGCAAGTCGGTATTTGCAGGGTTTTGAGGCTTACCACGGAAAAGCAAATAGCTTCACATAAAAAATACACAGAACCATTCTGAAAAACTTCTTTGTGATGTGTGCATTCATCTCACAGGGTTGAACCTATCTTACGATTGAGCAGTTTTGAAACATTGTCTTTCTAGAATCTGCAAGTGGATATTTGGAGCGCTTTGAGGCTTACTGTGGAAAAGGAAATATCTTCACATAAATACTACACAGAAACATTCTGAGAAGCGCATTATTGATGTGTGTATTCAACTCACAGTGTTGAACCTCTCTTTTCATCGAGCAGTTTTGAATCTGTCTTTTTGTAGAATCTGCAAGTGGACATTTGGAGCCCTTTCTGACATATGGAGGAAAAGGAAATATCTTCCAATAAAAACTACACAGAAGCATTCTCAGAAACTTCTGTGTGATGTGTACATTCATCTCAGAGAGTTGAAACTTTCTTTCGATTGAGCAGTTTTTAAACACTCCTTTTTTAGAAATTGCAAGTGGATATTTGGAGCGCTTTGAGGCATATTATGGTAAAGGAAATATCTTCACATAAAAACTACACAGAAGCATTCTGAGAAACTTCTTTGTGATGTGTGCATTCAACCCACAGAGTTGAACCCGTCTTTTGATTGAGCAGTTTTAAATCTCACTTTTTGTAGAATGTGCAAATGGATATTTGGAGCCCTTTGCGGCATATGGTAGAAAAGGAAATATCTTCACATAACAACTACTCAGAAGTATTCTGATAAACTTCTTTGTGATGAGTGCATTGAACTCATAGAGTTGAACATATCTTTTTATTGAGCAGTTTTGAATCTCTCTTTTGTAGAATCTTCAAGTGGATATTTGGAGCTCTTTAAGGCCTACGTTGGAAAAGGAAATATCTTCAAATATAAACTACACAAATCATTCTGAGAAAATTCTTTGTGATGTATGCATTCATCTCACAGAATTGAAACTTTATTTTGATTGGACAGTTTTGAAACACTCTTTTTGTAGAATCTACACGTGGATATTTTGAGCACTTTGAGGCCTATAGTGGAAAAGGAAACATCTTCACATAAAAACTACACGAAAGCATTCTGAGAAACATCTTTGTGATGTGTGCATTCAACTCACATTGTTGAACCAATCTTTTGATTGAGCAGTTTTGAATCTCTCCTTTTGTAGAATCTGCAAGTGGATAATTGGAGCCCTTTGCCACCTACAGAGGAAAAGGAAATATCTTCAAATAAAAACTACACACATGCATTTTGAGAAACTTCTTTTTGAAGTGTACATACAACTCACAGAGTTGAAACTATCTTCTGATTGAGCAGTTTTGAATCTCTCAATATTTTTTTTTGTAGAATATTCAAGTGGATATTTGGAGTCCTTTGTGACCTATGGAGGAAAAGGAAATATCTCCCAATTAAAACTACACAGAAGCATTCTCAGAAACTTCTTTGTGATGTGTGCATTAATCTCACAGAGTTGAAACTTTCTTTTGATTGAGCAGTTTTCAAACTCACTTTTTATAGAAACTGCAAGTGGATATTCAGAGCGTATTGAGGCCTATTGTCGAAAAGGAAATATCTTCACATAAAAATTACACAGAAGCATTCTGAGAAACTTCTTTGCGATGTGTGCATAAGTCTCACAGAGTTGAAGCTATCTTATGATTGAGCAGTTTTGAAACACTCCCTTTGTAGAATCTGCAAGTGGATACTTGTGGCGCTTTGAAGTCTATTGTGGCACAGAAATATCTTCCAGTAAAAACTACCAGAAACATTCTGAGAAACTTCTTTGTGATGTGTGCATTCATTTCACAGAGTTGAACCTTTCTTTTCATTGAGCTGTTTTGAAACACTGTTTTTGTAGTATCCGCAAGCGGATATGTGGAGCGATTTGAGGCCTTCTGTGGAAAAGCAATTATTTTCATGTTAAAGATACACAGAAGCATTCTGAGAAACTTCTTTGTGATGTGTGCATTCATCTCACGGAGTTGAACCTACGTTATGATTAAGCAGTTTTCAAAAACTCTTTTTGTAGAATCTGCAAGTGGATATTTGGAGCGCTTTGAGGCATATTGTGGAAAAGGAAATATATTCACATAAAAACTACACAGAAGCATTCTGAGTAACTTCTTTGTGATTAGTGCATTCATCACACAGAGCTAAACCTTTCTTTTGATTGAGCAGTTTTGAATCTCTCTCTTTGTAGAATCTGCAAGTGGATACTTGGATTGCTATCTGGCCCGTTGTGGAAAAGGAAATGTCTTCACATGAAAACTACACAGAAGGATTCTGACAAACTTCTTTGTGATGTGTGCATTCATCTAACAGATTTCAACCATTATTTTGATTCAGCAGTTTTGAAACACTATTTTTGGAGTATCTGCAAGTGGGTATTTGGAGGGCTTTGAGGCCTCCTGTGGAAAAGCAAATATCTTCACATAAAAACTACACAGAAGCATTCTGAGAAACTTCCTTGCGATGTGTGCATTCATCACATAGAATTGAAACTTTCTGTTGATTGAGCAGTTTTTAAACACACTTTTTGTAGAATATGCAAGTGGATATTTGCAGTGCTTTGATTCCTATTGTGGAAAAGGAAATATCTTCACATAAACACTACACAGAAGCATTCAGAGAAAGTATTTTGTGACGTGTGCATTAAAATCACAGAGTTGATATTATTTTTTGATTGAGCAGTTTTGAATCTCTCTTTTTGTAGAATCAGCAATTGGATATTTGGAGCCCTTTGCATCCTATGGAGGAAAAGGAAATATCTTCACCTGAAAACTACACAGAAGCATTCTGAGAAACTTCTTTGTGATGTGTGCATTCATCTCACAGAGTTGAACCTAAAGTATAATTCAGCAGTTCTAAAACACTGTTTTTGTAGAATCTGCAAGGGGATATTTGGAGCGCTTTGAGGCCTACTGTGGAAAATCAAATATCTTCACATAAAAACTACACAGAATCATTCTGAGAAACTTCGTTGGGCTGTGTGCATTCATCTCACAGAGTTGAACCTATCTTATGATTGAGCAGTTTTGAAACACTCTCTTTGTAAAATCTGCAAGTGTATACTTGGAGCGCTTGGAGGCCTATTGTGGCAAAGAAATATCTTCACATAGAAATTACACAGAAGCATTCATAGAAACTTCTTTGTGGTGTGTGCATTCATCTCACAGAGTTGAAACTTTCTTTTCATTGAGCACTTTTGAAACCCTGTTTTTGTAGTATCTGCAATGGAAATTTGGAGCGCTTTGAGCCCTACTGTGGAAAAGCAAATATCTTCACATAAAAACTACACAGAAGCATTCTGAGATACTTCTTTGTGATGTCTGCATTCATCTCACAGAGTTG
This sequence comes from Homo sapiens, assembly GCF_000001405.40. Classification (NCBI taxonomy): domain Eukaryota; kingdom Metazoa; phylum Chordata; class Mammalia; order Primates; family Hominidae; genus Homo; species Homo sapiens. The sequence goes on along the minus strand of NC_000022.11, from coordinate 12,344,297 downwards.
AAACTTTCTTTTGAATGAGCAGTTTTGTAACACTCTTTTTGTATAATATGAAAGTGGATATTTGCAGTGCTTTGAGTCCTATTGTTGAAAAGGGTTAGTAAATATCTTAACAAAAAAAATACACAGAAGCATCCTGAGAAACTACTTTGTGATGTGTGCATTCAACTCACAGAGTTGAACCAATCTTTTGATTGTGAAGTTTTTAATCTCTCTTCTTGTAGAATCTGGAAGAGGATATTTGGAGCCCTTTGTGGCCTATGGACGATAAGGAAATATCTTCTAGTAAACACTACAGAGACGCATACTGAGAAACTTCTTCGTGATGTGTGCCTTCATATCACAGAGTTGAACCTATCTTATGATTGAGCAGATTTGAAACATTTGATTTGTAGAATCTGCAAGTGAATATTTGGAGTGCTTTGAGGCCTCCTGTGGAAAAGCAAATATCTTCACATTAAAATTATACGGAAGTATTCTGAGAAACTTCTTCGTGATATGCGCATTCATCTCACAGAGTTGAAACTTTCTTTTGATTGGACAGTTTTGAAACACTGTTTTCGTAAAACCTACAAGTGGATATTGGAGGACTTTGAGGCCTACTATGGAAAAGCAAATATCTTCACATAAAAACTACACAGAAGCATTCTGAGTAATTGCTTTGTGATGTGTGCATTCATCTCCTGGAGTTGAACCTTTCCGTTGAACGAGCAGTTTTGCAATACTCTTTTTGTAGAATCTGCAAGTGGATATTTGGAAAGCTTTGAGGTCTATTGTGGAAAACGAAATATCTACACATAAAAACTACACAGAAGCATTCTGAGAAACTACTTTGTGATATGTGCATTAGACTCACAGAGGTGAACTTATCTTTTGATTGAGCAGTTTTGAATCTCTCTTTTTGTAGAAGCTGTAAGTAGATATTTGGAGCCCTTTGGGGCCCATGGAGGAAAAGGAAATATCTTCAAATAAAAGCTACACACAAGCATTCTGAGAAACTTCTTTGTGATGTGTGCATTCATCTCAGAGTTGAACCTATCTTATGATTCAGCAGTTTTGAAACACTGTTTTTGTTGAATCTGCAAGTGGATATTTGGAGCGCTTTAAGGCCATCTGTGGAAAAGCAAGTATCGTCGGATAAAAACTACACAGAATCCTTCTGATAAATATCTTTGTGATGTGTGCACTCATCTCACAGAGTTGAACCTATCTTATGATTGATCAGTTTTGAAACATTCTTTCTGTAGAATCTGCAAGTGGATTATTGAAGTGCTTTCAAGTCTATTGTGGAAAAGGAAATATCTTAACATAAAAACTACACAGAAGCATTCTGAGAAACTTCTTTGGGATGTGTGCATTCATCTCACAGAATTGAGTGTATCTTATGATTTAGCAGTTTTGAAACACTCTCTTTGTAGAATCTGCAAGTGGATATTTGGAGCGTTTTGAGGCTTTTGTGGAAAAGGAAATATCTTCACATAAAAACTACACAGAATCATTCTGAGAAACTTCTTTGTGATGAGTGCGTTCATCTCACAGATTTCAACATACCTTCTGATTGAGCAGTTTTGAATCTCTCTTTCTGTAAAATCTGCAAGTGGATATTTTGAGCCCTTTGTGGCCTATAGTGGAAAAGGAAATATCTTCAAATAGAAACTACACAGAAACATTTTGAGAAACTTCTGTGTGAAGTGTGCATTCATCTCACAGAGTTGAACTTTTGTTTTGATTGAGAAGTTTTGAAACATTCTTTTTGTAGAATCTGCAAGTGGATATTTGGAGTGCTTTGAGGTCTATTGTGGAAAATGAAATATCTTCACATAAAAACTACACAGAAGCATTCTGAGAAACTTCTTTGTGATGTGTGCATTCAACTCGCAGAGTTGAACCTATCTTTTGATTGAGCAGCTTTGAATCTCTGTTTTTCTAGAATCTGCAAGTGGATATTTGGAGCCCGTTGTGGCCTATGGACGATAAGGAAATATCTTCTACTAAACACTACAGAGACCCATACTGAGAAACTTCTTCGTGATATGTGCCTTCATATCAGAGATTTGAACCTATCTTATGACTGAGCAGATTTGAAACACTTGCTTTGTAGAATCTGCAAGTGGATATTTGGAGCGCTTTGAGGCCGCCTGTGGAAAAGCAAATATCTTCACATTAAAATTATATGGAAGTATTCTGAGAAACTTCTTCATGAGGTGTGCATTCATCTCACAGAGGTGAAACTTTCTTTTGATTGGACAGTTTTGAAACACTGTTTTCGTAAAACCTACAAGTGGATATTAGAGCACTTTGAGGCCTACTGTGGAAAAGCAAATATCTTCACATAAAAACTACACAGAAGCATTCTGACTAATTTCTTTGTGATGTGTGCATTCATCTCACAGAGTTGAACATTTCCCTTGAATGAGCAGTTTTGAAACCTTTTTTTGTAGAATCTGCAAGTGGATATTTGGAAAGCTTTGAGGTCTATTGTGGAAAACGAAGTATCTACACATAAAAACTGCACAGAAGCATTCTGAGAAACTTCTTTGTGATGTGTGCATTCATCTCACAGAGTTGAACCTATCTTATGATTCAGCAGTTTTGAAACACTGTTTTTGTTGAATCTGCAAGTGGATATTTGGAGTGCTTTGAGGCCATCTGTGGAAAAGCAAGTATCGTCGGATAAAAACTACACAGAATCCTTCTGATAAATATCTTTGTGATGTGTGCACTCATCTCACAGAGTTGAACCTATCTTATGATTGATCAGTTTTGAAACATTCTTTTTGTAGAATCTGCAAGTGGATAATTGGAGCACTTTCAAGCCTATTGTGGAAAAGGAAATATCTTAACATAAAAACTACACAGAAGCATTCTGAGAAACTTCTTTGGGATGTGTGCATTCATCTCACGGAATTGAGCCTATCTTATGATTTAGCACTTTTGAAACACTCTCTTTGTAGAATCTGCAAGTGGATATTTGGAGCATTTTGAGGCTTTTTGGGGAAAAGGAAATACCTTCACATAAAAACTACACAGAAGCATACTGAGAAACTTCTTTGTGATGAGTGCATTCGTCTCACAGATTTCAACATACCTTCTGATTGAGCAGTTTTGAATCTCTCTTTCTGTAAAATCTGCAAGTGGATATTTTGAGCCCTTTGTGCCCTATGGTGGAAAAGGAAATATCTTCACATAGAAACTTCACAGAAGCATTCTGAGAAACTTCTTTGGTTGTGTGCATTCAACTCAAAGTGTTGAAATTATGTTTTGCTTGAGCAGTTCTGCATCTCTCTTTTTGTAGAATCTGCAATTGGATATTTGGAGCCCTTTGTGGCGTATGGAGAAAAAGGAAATATCTTCAAATAAAAACTACACAAAGCATTCTGAGAAACCTCTTTGCGATGTGTGCTTTCATCTCACAGATTTGAGCTTATGATAGAGAAGTTTTGAAACACTCACTTTTTAGAAGCTGTAAGTGGATAATTGGAGTGCTTTAAGGCCTAATGTGGATAAGGAAATATCTTCACATGAAAACTACACAGAACCATTCTGAGAAACTTCTTTGTGATGTGTACATTCATCTCAAAGAGGTGAACCTGTCTTTTGATTGCGCAGTTTTGACTCTACCTTTTGGTAGATTGTGCAACTGAATATTTGGAGACTTTTGCACCCTATGGAGGAAAAGGAAATATCTTCAAATAAAAACTTCGCAGAAGCATTCTGAGAAACTTCTTTGTGATGAGTGCATTCATCAGACGGAGTTGAACACTTCTTTTGATGAAGCAGTTTCAAAACAGTCTTGTTGAAGAATCTGCAAGTGCATATTTGGAGCACTTTGGGGTCTACTTTGGAATAGCAAATATCTTCGCATAAAAAATACACAGAAGCCTTCTCAGAAACTTCTTAGTGATGTGGGCATTCATCTCACAGAGTTGAACTTTTCTTTTGATAGAGCAGTTTTGAAAAACTCTTTTTGTAGAATCTGCAAGTGAATATATGGAGCGCTTTCATGCCTATTGTGGAAAAGGAAATATCTTCACATAAAAACTATGCAAAAGCATTCTGAGAAAGTTCTGTGTGATGTGTGCATTCATCTTATGGAGTTGAACCTATCCTTTGATTGAGCAGTTTTGAATCTCTCTGTTTCTAGAATCTGCAAGTGGATATCTGGAGCCCTTTGCAGCCTAGGGTGGAAAAGGAAATATCTTCAAATAAAAACTACACAGAAGCATTCTGAGAAACTTGTTTGTGATGTATGCATTCATTTCACAGAATTGATCCTATCTTATGACTGAGCAGTTTTGAAACACTCTTTTTGTTGAATCTGCAAGTGGATATTTGGAGCACTTTGAAGCCCATTGTGTAAAGGGAAATATCTTCACATAAAAACTACACAGAAGCATTCTGAGAAACTTCTTTGTGATGTGTGCATTCATCTCACAGAGTTGAACCTATCTTATGATTTAGCAGTTTGGAAACACTCTCTTTGTAGAATCTGCAACTGGATATTTGGAGCATTTTGAGGCCAACTGTGGAAAAGCAAATATCTTCACATAAAAACTACAAAGAAGCATTCTGATAATCTTCTTTGTGATGTGTGCATTCATCTCACAGAGTTGAACCTTTCTTTTGATTGAGCAATTTTGCAACACACTTTTTGTAGAATCTGCAAGTGGATATGTGGAGGCCTTTGAGGTCTCCTGTGTAAAAGGAAATATCTTCACATAAGAACTACACAGACGCATTCTGAGAAACATCTTTGTGATGTGTGCATTCAACTCACAGAGTTGAACCTGTTTTTTGATTGAGGAGTTTTGAATTTCTCTTTTTGCAGAATCTGCAAGTGGATATTTGGAGCCCTTTGCTGCCTATTTTGGAAAAGGAAATATCTTCAAATAAAAACTACACAGAAACATTCTGAGAAACATCTTTGTTATGTCAGCATTCATCTCACAGAGTTGAATCTATCTTATGATTGAGCAGTTTTTTGAAACTCTGTTTTTGTAGAATCAGCAAATGGATATTTTGAGTGCTTTGTGGCCCATTGTGGAAAAGGAAATATCTTCACATAAAAACTACACAGAAGCATTCTGAGAAACTCCTTTGTGATGCGTACATTCATCTCAAATAGTTGAACATTTCTTTCAATTTAGCAGTTATGAAACACTGTTTTTGTAGAATCTGCAAGTGGATATTTGGAGCACTTTGAGGCCTATTGTGGAAAAACCAGTATCTTCATATAAAAACTACACAGAAGCATTCTGAGAAACTGCTTTGTGATGTGTGAAGTCATCTCCTAGAATTGAACCTTTCTTTTGCTTGAACAGCTTTGGAACACTCTTTTTGTAGGATCTGCAAGTGGATATTTGCGGTGCTTTGAGGACTATTTAGGAAAAGAAAATGTCTTCACATAAAAACTACACAGAAGCATCCTGAGAAACTTCTAGGCGATGTTTGCATTCATCTCACAGAGTTGAACCTTTCTTTTGACTGAGCAGTTTGGAAACACTCTTTTTGTAGAATCTGCTAGTGGATATTTAGAGAGTTTGGGGCCTATAGTGGAAAAGGTAATATCTTCCAAAGAAAACTACACAGAAGCATTCTGAGAAAATTCTTCGTGCTGTGTGCATTCAACTAGGAGAGTTGAACCTATCTTTCGATTATGCAGTTTTCAATCTCTCTTATTGTAGAATCTGCAAGGGGATATTTGGAGCCCTTTGCAGCCTGTGGTGGAAAAGGAAATAATTTCACATAAAAACTGCACAGAAAAATTCTGAGAAACTTCTTTGTGATGTGTGCATTCATTTCACAGAGTTGAATGTTTATTTTGATTGAGCGGTTTTGAAACACTGCTTTTGAAGAATCTGCAAGTGGATATTTGGAGCGGTTTGAGGGCTACTGTGGAAAAGCAATATCTTCACATGAAAACTACACAGAAGCATTCTGAGAAACTTCTTTGTGATGTGTGCATTCATCTCACAGAGTTGAACCTTTCTTTTGATGGAGCAGTTTTGAATCTCTCTTTTTGTAGAATCTGCAGGTGGATATTTTGAGCCCTTTGCAGCCTATGCAGGAAAAGGAAATATCTAAAAATAAAAACAACACAGATGCATTCTGAGAAACTTCTTTGTTATGTGTGCATTCATCTCACTGTGTGGAACCTATCTTATGATTGAGCAGTTTTGAAACACTCTCTTTGTAGAATCTGCAAGTGGATATTTGGAGCACTTTGAGGCCTATTGTGGAAAAGGAAATATCTTCATATAAAAACTACACAGAAGCATTCTCAGAAACTTCTTTGTGATGTGTGCATTCATCTCACAGAGTTGAATTTTTATTTGATTGAGCACTTTTGAAACATTGTTTTTGTAGAATCTGCAACTGGATATTTGCAGTGTTTTGAGGCCTACTGCAGAAAAGCAAATATCTTCAAATAAAAACTACACAGAGGCATTCTGAGGAACTTCTTTGTGATAGGCGCATTAATCTCAAAGAGTTGAACCTTTCTTTTGATTGAGAAGTTTTGAAACGCTCTTTTTGTAGTATCTGCAAGGGGATATTTGGAGCGCTTTGAGGCCTATTGTGGAAAAGTAAATATCTTCACATAAAAAATACACAGAAGCATTTTGAGAAACTACTTTGTGATGTGTGCATTCAACTCATAAGGTTGAACGCATCTTTAGATTGGGCAGTTTTGAATATCTCTGTTTGTGGAATCTGCAAGTGGATATGTGTAGCCCTTTGCAGCCTATGGAGGAAAAGGAAATATCTTCAAATAAAAACTGCACAGACACATTCTGAGAAACTTCTTCGTGATGTGTGCATTCAACTCACAGAGTTGAATCTTTCTTTGGTTGAGTAGTTTTGAAATACTCTTTTTGTAGGATGTGCAAGTGGGTATTTTGAGGGCTTTGAAACCTATTGTGGAAAAGGATATATCTTCATATAAAAATTACACAGAAGCATTCTGAGACACATCTTTATGATATGTGCATTCAACTCACATAGTTAAATCTATCTTTTGATTGAGCAGTTTTGAATCTCTCTTTTTGTAGAATCTGCAAGTGGATATTAGGAGCCCTTTGTGGCCCTTGTGATAAAGGAAATATCTTCACAAAAAAACTACACAGAAGCATTCTGAGAAACTACTTTGTGATGAGTCCATTCACCACACAGAGTTGAAAATTTCTTTGACTGAACAGTTATGAAACACACTTTTTGTACAGTCTGCAAGTGGATATCTGGAGGGCTTTGAGGCCTATTTTGGAACAGGAATTATCTTCCCATAAAAACTACACAGAAGCATTCTGAGAAACTTCTTTGTGATGTGTGCATTCATCTCACAGAGATGAACCTAGTTTTTCATTAAGCGGTTTTGAAACACTGTTTTTGTGAATCTCTAAGTTGATATTTGGAGCACTTTGAGGCCGACATTGGAAAAGTAAATATCTTCACATAAAAACTACACATAAACATTCTGAGAAACTTCTTTGTGATGTGGGCATTCATCTCACAGAGTTGAACCTTTCTTTTGATTGAGAAGTTTTTAATCTCTCTTTCTGTAGAATCTGCAAGGGGATATTTGGAGGGCTTTGAGGCCTGTTGTGGAAAAGTAAATATCTTCACATAAAAACTAAACAGAAACATTCTGAGAAACTTCTTTGTGATGTATGCATTCATCTCACAGAATTGAACTCTTCTTTTGATTGAGCACTTTGGAAACACGCTTTTTCTAGAATCTGTAAGTGGATATTTGGAGCTCCTTGAGGCCTATTTTGGAAAAGGATATATCTTCACATAAAAACTACACAGAAGCATTCTGAGAAACTGCATTGTGATGTGTGCATTCATCTCACAGATTTGAACCTTTTTTTGATTGAGCAGTTTTGAAACACTCTTTTTGTAGAATCTGCAAGTGGATATTTGGAGTGCTTTTAGGTCTATTGTGGAAAAGAAAATATCATCACATAAAAACTATAGAGAATCATTCTGTGAAACTTCTTTGCGTTGTGTTTACTCACCTCATGGAGTTGAAGTTTTCTTTAGATTGAGCAATTTGGAAACACTCTTTTTGTAGAATCTGCAAGTGGATAGTTGGAGTGCTTTTAGGCCTATGGTTGAAAAGGAAATATCTTCACATAAAAACTACTCGGAAGCGTTCTGAGAAACTTCTTTGTGATGTGTGCATTCACCTCACAGGGTTGAAACTTTCTTTTGATTGAGCAGTTTTGACACACTCTTTTTCTAGAATGTGCAAGTGGATATTTGCAGGGCTTTGTTGACTATTGTGGAAAGGGAAGTATGTTCACATAAAAATTACACAGAAGCATTCTGAGAAATTTCTTGTGAAGTGTGCATTCACCTCACAGAGTTGAAACTTTCTTTTCATTAAGCATTTTTGAAACACTCTTCTTGTACAATCTGCAAGTGGATATTTGGAGCCCTTTGAGGCCTATTGTGGAAAAGGAAATATCTTCACATAAAAAGTAATCAGAAGCATTCTGAGAAACTTCTTTGTGATGTATGCATTCATCTCACAGAATTGAACCCTTCTTTTCATTAGCACTTTGGAAACTCTCTTTTTGTAGAGTCTAGAAGTGGACATTTGGAGCTCTTTGAGGTCTATTGTGGAAAATGAAATATCTTCACATAAAAACTACACAGAAGCATTCTTAGAAAGTTCTTTGTGATTTGTGCTTTCAACTCACAGAATTGAAACTTTTTTTGATTGAGCAGTTTTGAAACACTCTTTTTGTAGAATCTGCAAGTGGATATTAGGAGTGCTTTGAGGCCTATTGTGGAAAAGGAAATATCTTCACATAAAAACTACACAGAATCATTCTGTGAAACTTCTTTGCGAGGTGTTTACTCATCTCACAGAGTTGAAGTTTTCTTTTGAATGAGCAGTTTGGAAACACTCTTTTTGTAGAATCTGCAAGTGGATAGGTGGAGCGATTTGAGGTCTATGGTGTAAAAGGAAATATCTTCACATAAAAACTACATGGAAGCATTCTGAGAAACTTCTTGGTGATGTTGCATTCATCTCACAGAGTAGAACATTTCTTTTGATTGAGCATTTTTGAAACACAGTTTTTGTAGAATCTGCAAGTGGATATTTGGAGAGCTTTGAGGACTATTGTGGAAAAGGAAGTATCTTCACAAGAAAAGTACACAGAATCATTCTGGGAAATGTCTTGTGACGTGTGCATTCATCTCACAGAGCGCTTTGAGGCCCATTGTGGAAAAGGAAATATCTTCACATGAAAACTACACAGAAGCATTCTGAGAAACTTCTTTGTGATTTTTGCATTCATCTCACGGTGTTTTACCATTCTTTTGATTGAGCAGTTTGAAAACACTCTTTTAGTAGAATCTAAAAGTGGATATTTAGAGCTCTTTGAGTACTATTGTGGAAATTGAAATATCTTCACATAAAAACTATACAGAAGCATTCTGAGAAACTTCTTTGTGATGTGTGCATTCAACTCACAGAGTTCTACCTATCTATTGGTAGAGGATTTTAGAAACTCTCTTTTTGGAGAATCTGCAAGTGAATATTTGGAGCCCTTTATGGCCTACTGTGTAAAAGGAAATACCTTCACATAAAAACTACACAGAAGCACTCTGAGAAACTTCTTTGTGATGTGCACATTCATCTCACAGATTTGAACCTTTCTTTAGACTGAACAGTTTGGAAACTCTCTTTTAATAGAATAAGCAAGTGGATATTTGAAACACTTTGAGGCCTAATGTGGAAGAGAAAATATCTTCACATAAAAATGACACAGAAGCATTCTGATAAACTACTTTGTAATGAGTCCATTAATCTCACGAAGTTGAACCTTTCTTTTCTTTGCGCAGTTTGGAAACAATCTTTACAGAATCTGCAGGTGGATATTTGCAGCGCTTTGAGGCAAATTGTGGAAAAGGAAATATCTTCACATAAAAACTGCACAGAAGCATTCTGAGAAACTTCTTTATGATGTGTGCATTCAACTCACAGACTTGAACCTTTCTTTTGATTGAACAGTTTTGAAACACTCTTTTTGTAGATTCTGCAAGTGTATATTTGTAGCCCTTTGAGGCCTACTGTGGAAAAGGAAATATCTTCACATAAAAACTACACAGAAGCATTCTGAGAAACTTCTTTGCGATGTGTGCATTCCCCTCAAAGAGTTTAATCTCTCTTTTTATTGAGCACTTTTGAAACCCCCTTTTTGTAGAATCTGCAAGGGGATATTTGGAGCCCTTTAGGGCCTATTTTGGAAAAGGAAATATCTTCACATAAAAACTACACAAAAGTATTGTGAGAAACTTCTTCATGATGTGTGAATTCGTCTCATAGAGTTGAACCTTTCTTTTCATTGATCACTTTGGAAACACTCTTTTTGTAACATCTGCAGGTGGATGTTTGGAGCACTTTGTGGTGAATGGTGTAATAGGAAATATCTTTACATAAAAAGTACGCAGAGGCATTCTGAGACACCTCTTTGAGATGTGTGCATTCAAGTCATCGGGTTGAGCTTATCTTTTTATAGAGCAGTTTTGAAACTCTATCTTTGCAGATTCTGTAAGTGGATACTTGGTGCGTTGTGCAGCCAAGTGTGAAAAAGGAAATACCTTCACATAAAAACCACACAAAATAATTCTGAGAAACTTCTTTGTGTTGTGTGCATTCATCTCAAAAAGCTGAACCTTTCTTTTGATTAAGCAGTTTTGAAACACTCATTTTGTAGAATGTGCAAGTCAATGTTTCAAGCACTTTGAGGCCTATTGTGGAAAAGGAAATATCTTCACATAAAAACTACAAAGAAGCATTGTGAGAAACTACTTTGTGACGTGTGCATTCATCACACAGAGTTGAACCTTTCTTTTTATTGAGCAGTTTGGTAACACTCTTTTTGTAGAATCTCCAAGGGGATATTTTTAGCGCTTTGAGATCTTTGGCGGAAAAGGAAATATCTTCACATAGAAACTACACAGAAGCATTCTGAGAAACTTATTTGGGATGTGTGCATTCATCTCAGTGAGTTGAATCTATCCTTTGATTGAGCAGTTTTTAATCACTCTTTTTGTAGAATCTGCAAGTGGATATTTGGAGCCCATTTAGACCTATGGTGGAAAAGGAAACATCCTCACATAAAAACTATGAAGAAGCATTCTGAGAAACGTCTTTGTAATGTGTGCATTCATCTCACAGAGTTGAACCTTTCTTTTGATTGAGCAATTTCGAAACACTCTTTTTGTAGAATTTGGACGTGTATATTTGGAGTGCTTTGTGGCCTGTTGTGGAAAAGAAAATATCTTCACATAAACACTAGACAGAAGCATTCTGAGAAACTTCTTTGTGATGTGTGCATTCATCTCAGAGAGTTGATCTTTCTTTTGATTGACCAATTTGGACACACTCTTTTCTAGAACCTGCAAGTGGATATTTGGAGCGCTTTGAAGCCTATGGTAGAAAAGGAAATATCTTCACATAAAAACCACACAGACGCAGTCTCAGAAACTTTTTTGTGATGTCTGCATTCGACTCACACAGCTGAACCTATCTTTTGATTGAGAAGTTTTGATTCTCTCTTTTTGTAAAATCTGCAAGTGGATATTTGCAGACCTTTCTGGCCTATTTTGGAAAAGGAAATATCTTCACATAAAAAATAGAAGCATTCTGAGAAACTTCTTTGTGATGTGTGCATTCATCTCAAAAAGTTGAACATTTCTTTTGATTGAGTAGTTTCTATTATTATTATACTTTAAGTTTTAGGGTACTTGTGCACATTGTGCAGGTTAGTTACATATGTATACGTGTGCCATGCTGGTGTGCTGCACCCACTAACTCGTCATATAGCATTAGGTATATATCCCAATGCTATCCCTCCCCCCTCCTCCCACCCCACAACAGTCCCCAGAGTGTGATGTTCCCCTTCCTGTGTCCATGTGATCTCATTTTTCAATTCCCACCTATGAGTGAGAATATGCGGTGTTTGGTTTTTTGTTTTGCGATAGTTTACTGAGAATGATGACTTCCAATTTCATCCATGTCCCTAAAAAGGATATGAACTCATCATTTTTTATGGCTGCATAGTATTCCATGGTGCATATAGACTGGATTAAGAAGATTTAGCAGTTTTTAAAAAATCTTTTGTAGTGTTTGCAAGGGGATATTTGGAGCGTTTTGGGGCCTATTGTGGAAAAGGAACTATCTTCACATAAAAACTAGACAGAAGCATTCTGAGAAACTTTTGGTGATCTGTGCATTCAACTCACAGATTTGAACCTTTCTTTTGATTGAACAGTTTTGAAACACTCTTTTTGTAGTATCTGTAAATGGATATTTGAAGCGGTTTGAGGTCTATCTTGGAAAAGGAAATATCTTCACATATAAACTAGACAGAAGCATTCTGAGAAACTTCTCTGTGATAAGTGCCTTCATCTCACAGAGTTGAACCTTTCTTTTGATTGAGCAGTTTTGAAACACTCTTTTTGTTGTATATGCAAGTGGCTATTTGGAGCGATTTGTGGTCTGTGGTGGAAAAGGAAATATCTTCACATAAAAACTAGACAGAAACACTCTGAGAAACTTCTTTGTGATGTGTGCATTCATCTCACCAAGATGAACCATTCTTTTGATGGAGCTGTTTTGAAATACTCTTTTTGTAGAATCTGCAAGTGGATATTTGGAGTGCTTTCAGGCCTGTGGTGGAAAAGGAAATATCTTCACATAAAAACTAGACAGAAGTATTCTGAGAAACTTCTTTGTAATGTGTGCATTCATCTCACAGTGTTGAAACTTTCTTTTGATTGAGGGTTTTGAAACAGTCTTTTTGATGAAACTGCAAGTGGATATTTGGAGCGAATTGTGTCCTATGGTTTAAAAGGAAATATCTTCACATAAAAACTAGACAGAAGCCTTCTGAGAAACTTCTTTGTGATGTGTGCGTTCATCTCACTGGGTTGAATCTTTCCTTTCATCGAGCAGTATTGAAACACCCTTTTTGTAGAATCTGAAAGTCGATATTTGGAGCGATTGTGTCCTATGGTAGTAAAGGAAATATTTTCACAGAAAAACTAGACAGAAGCATTCTGCAAAACTTCCTCGTGATGTGTTCACTTATCTCACCAAATTGAACCATTGTTTTCATTGAGCAGATTTGATACACTCTTTTTGTAGAATGTGCAAGTGAATATTTGGAACTCTTTGATGAGTATGACGGAAAAGGAAATACCTTCACATACAAACTAGACAGAAGCATTCTGAGAAACTTCTTTCTGATATGTGCATTCAACTCACTGAGTTGAACCTTTCTTTTGATTCAGCAGTTTTGAAACACGCTTTTTGAAGAATCTGTAAGTGGCTATTTGGAGTGCTTAGGGGCCGATGGTGGAATGGAAATATCTCCACATAAAAAACTTGACAGAAGCATTCTGAGAAACTTCTCTGTGATGTGTGCATTCATCAGAGAGAGTTTAACCTTTCTTTTGACTGAGCAGTTTTGAAACTCTCTTTTTGTAGAATCTGCAAGTGGACATTTGGAGCCACTTGAGGCCTATAGTGGAAAAGGGAATATCTTCACATAAAAGCTACACGGAAGCATTCTGAGAAACTTCTTTGTGATGTACAGATTCCTCTCACAGATTTGAAAATTTCTTTTGATTGAGCAGTTTTGAAATGTTCTTTTTGGAGAATCGGCCAGTGGATATTTGGAGCGCTTTGAGGACTATGGTGGAAAAGGAAATATCTTCACATAAAAACTAGAGGAAACATTCTGAGAAACTTATTTGTGATGTGTGCATTCCTCTCACAGAGTTGAACATTTCTTTTGATTAAGCAGTTTTGAAACACTCTTTTTGTAGAATCTGCTAGAGGATATTTGGAGCTCTTTGAGGCCTATGGAGGAAAAGGAAATATCTTCACTTAAAAACTAGACAGAAGCATTCTGATAAACTTCTTTGTAATGTGTGCATTCATCTCACAGAGTTGAACCTTTCTTTTGATTGAGCTGTTTTGAAACACTCTTTTTGAGGAATCTGCAAGTGGATATTTAGAGCGCTTTGAGGCGTATGGTGGAAAATGAAACATCTTCACATAAAAACTAGACAGCAGCATTCTGAGAAACTTCTTTGTAATGTGTGCATTCATCTCACAGAACTTAACCTTTCTTTTGATTGAGCAGTTTTGAAACACTCTTTTTGTAGAATCTGCAAATGGATATATGGATCATTTTGAGGTCTACGGTGCAAAAGGGTATATCTTCACATAAAAACTAGACAGAATCTTTCTCAGAAACTTCTTTGTGACGTGTACATTCATCTTACAGTGGTGAACCTTTCTTTTGATTCAGCAGTTTTCACTCTTTTTGTAGAATTTGCAAGTGGATATTTGGAGAACTTAGGGGCCTATGGTGGAAAAGGAAATATCTCCACATAAAAAATTGACGGAAGCATTCTGAGAAACTTCTTTGTTGTGTGCATTCAACTCACAGAGTAGAACCTTTCTTTTGATTTAGCAGTTTTGAAACACTCTTTTTGTAGAATCTGCAAGTGGATATTTGGAGCCCTTTGTGGCCCACAGTGGAAATGGAAATATCTTCACATAAAAACTAGACAGAAGCATTCTGAGAAAGTTCTTGGTGATGTGTGCATTCATCTCACAGAGTTAAATTTTTCTTTTGATTGAACAGTTTTGACACACTCCTTTGGAGAATCTGCAAGTGGATATTTGGAGCGCTTTAAGGCCTATTGTGGAAAAGGAAATATCATCAAATAAAAACTACACAGAAGCATTCTGAGAAATTTCTTTGTGATGTATGCATTCATCTCACAGAGAGGAACTTTCTTTTGATTGAGCAGTGTTGAAACACTAATTTTGTAGAATCTGCAGGAGGGTATTTGGAGCGCTTTGCTGCATATGGTGTAAAAGGAAGTATCTTCACATAAAAATTGGACAGAAGAATTCTGAAAAACTTCTTTGTGATGTGTGCATTCATCTGACAGAGTTGAACCTTTCTTTTGATTGAGCAGTTTTGAAACACTCTTTTTGTAGTATCTGTAAATGGATATTTGAAGCGGTTTGAGGTCTATGGTGGAAAAGGAAATATCTTCACATATAAACTAGACAGAAGCATTCTGAGAAATTTCTCTGTGATTTGTGCATTCATCTCACAGAGTTGAACCTTTCTTTTGATCGAGCAGTTTTGAAACACTCTTTTTGTAGAATCTGCAAGTGAATATTTGGAGTGCTTTTAGGCCTTTGTGGAAAAGCAAATATCTTTGCATCAAAACTAGACAGATGCATTTTGAGAAACTTCTTTGTGATGTGTGCATTCATCTCACAGATTTAAACCTTTATTTTGATTGAACAGTTTTGAAACACTGTTTTTGGTGAATCTGCAAGTGGATATTTGGAGCGCTTAGAGGCCTATGGTGTAAAACAAATATATTCAAATAAAAACTAGACAGAAGCATTCTGAGAAACTTCTCTGTGATGTGTGCACTCATCTCACAGAGTTGAACATTTCTTTTGTTCGAGTAGTTTTGAAACACTCTTTTTGTACCATCTGCAAGTGTATATTTGGAGCGTTTTGCCTCCTATGGTGCAAAAGGAAATATCTTCACATAAAAACTAGACAGATGCATTCTGAGAAACTTCTTTGTGATATGTGCATTCATCTCACAGAGGTGAACTTCTAGTGCTTTGGACTCATCCAACCCTCAACATTAATTTTAAGAGCTCCTTGATCTTTCCAGCAGGAGAAAAATGAACATGCAAAGCTCTCAGGCTCATTGTTATAATCCTCTCAAGAATCAGTCTCATTAGCAGACAGCAGAGTCTTGATCCCTTGTTTCACCAAACTAACCACTTGGCTGAGAGAAGTTGCTGTTAGTCCTAGGGGAACTTCTCATAACCCTTGCAAGCTCTTCAAGTATTTGTGTATTTTCCCCTTTCAGAAAGTTGCGTTTATCTCAGCATCCCATTGTCATCTCCAAAATTAAATAATTGTGAAGGATCTAAGATTTCATCCTATTTGTAAACGAACCTATTAACCTTCCATTTTCATGGATGCTGGTAGAAGGCATGAGACACTGAAGTATGAAAAAAAAACCTACTATTTACTGTCTACCTGGAGGCAAAAGCCTCATTTTTGTATTAGTTCTCCTTGTCCATACTACATTTTTTAGAGGGATTTCAAAAGGCTCAGATGGACATTGCACATGGGGAAGATTTGTGTCACAGCTGAGCAGACTCAAGACTAAGAAACCTCAATCTTCTTAAAGTAGGTTACATGCAAACCTGTCCAACCTTTGCCTCACAGAGAAAAATTGTCTTTATTATATTGATTGAGTAATTTATCTGCCATTCACCTGAAGAGAAAAACTACTACCCTTTTTCCAGGTTATTTGTGTACAAAAATCTTTGAAAAATAGCCTGGAACAGGACAGGTATGTGATGTAAGACACAACAAAATGACAAACTCTAAGAGACTTTTATAGAACTACATCTCAGTAGCATGCATCTTTTCCATAAAATGTTGCACTAAACAATCCTGTGATGAAAAAAAATCCATTGAAGATTTTTGACATGAAGACTAACTTTTGTTGTTTTGTGTTGTGGGATTGTTCAAGTGATTCTCCTGTGTCAGCCTCCAAAGTAGCTGGAGTACAGGCTCCCACTACCACACTCAGCTTATTTTTCTATTTTTAGTAGAGGCGGGGTTTTACCATGTTAGTCAGGGTGGTCTCGAACTCCTGATCTCAGGTGGTCCGCCTGCCTTGGCCTCACAAAGTGCTAGGAATATAGGCATGAGCCACCATGCCCGGCCCCAGGAATGAAAGTTCTATGTGTGCAGTAATGTAATTCTGACTGATAAATGACAGGTGGCAGTAAGTGAAAATCTAACACAATTCAACCTTTTTACATATTTAGACATATTGTAATTGGTTAGCTTATTGGAAAAAGTTAAATGACTACCAGTTTATATGGCATATTTATTCTGAATTAATTGCTAATCTAGATTTGAGAGATGAAATAATTATTTTTACAACACAGAAACATAAAGTGCATTTCCATATACCAAAAATGAACAATTTGACAGTAAATTAATAAAACAATTGTTTGCAACAACATTAAAATAATATAATTCTTAGAAATAAATTTAATAAGAAGGTACATATTTTGTACAATAAAAAATACAGGATCAGAATATTTATGAAAAAAACTAAAAAGGAGTTAAATAACTGGCAACAAATTCCATGTTCCTGAACCGGAAGACTTAATGAAGTTCAGATGACAATACTACTACCCAAAGTAGTGTACAGATGTACTGTAATCCCAATTTTTAATTTTTCCAACTTTTCTTTTGCAAAAACAAAATAATTCATTTAAAACTTCTTATGGAATTTGAAAATCCTCTGAATGTACAGAATAATCTTGAAAGGAAGAACAAAATTAGATGGCTCACAATTTTAAATTTGAAAACATACAAAGCTACTATAATTATAACAGTTTGCTAGTGGCATAAGAACAATTGTAGAGATCAAATAAATAAAATATATAATCAAAAAAACCCTTGCATAAATTATTGATTGTCTTTTGACAAGGGTGCCTTAATCATTATCTAAAGAAAAGGACAGTTTGTTCCACAATAAATGCTGGGAAAACAAGTCCACATTGAAACCAGTAAAGTTGAATCTTTATCACATTCCAAGTACAAAAATTAAATAAAAATAGATTAAAGACATAAGTGTTCAACATTAGTGGTTTCTAATGGTTGTTTTCATTTATGTGGGGTCAGTACTAACATGAACACCTTTATACACACAAACTAGAAAACTTTAAAGAAATGGATACATTACTAGATATACACACTCTCCCAAGATTAAGCCAGGAAGACAATTATTTCCTGAATGGACCAATAAAAAGCTCTGATATTATATAGGTAATAAGTAGCTTGCCAATCAAAAAAATAAAAGCCCTGGACTTTATGGATTTACAGCCAAATTCTACCAAATGTACAAGGAAGAGCTGGTACAATTCCTACAGAAACTATCCCCAAAAATTGAGGAGGACGGTCTCCTCCCCAACTCATTCTATAAGGACAGCATGATCTTGACACCAAAACCTGGCAGAGACACAACAAAAACACAAAATTAACCGGGCTTGGTAGCAGACACCTGTAGTCCCAGCTACTTGGGAGGCTGAGGCAGGAGAATGACATGAACCCAGGAGGCGGAGCTTGCATTAAGCAGAGATTGCACCAGTGCACTCCAGCCTGGGCAACAGAGGGAGACTCCATCAAAAAAAAAAAAGAAAGAAAGAAAAGAAAACTTCAGGCCAATATTCTTCACAAACATCAATACAAAAGTTCTCAGAAAAATATTTGTAAACCAAATCCAGCAGCACATCAAACAGGTAATCCGTCATTATCAAGTAGGCTGCCTCCTTAGGATGCAAGGTTGGCCCAGCATGTGCAAATCAATAAATGTAATACATCACATAAACAGAACTAAATACAAAAAACAGACGATTATCCCAATAGATGCAGAAAGTAATAAAAGCCGTGTATAAAAAACCCACAGCCAACAATCTGTTGAATGGGCAAAGTTGGGAGCTTTTTTTCTGAAAACCAGCACAAGGCAAGAATGCCCTCTCTCACCATTTCTATTCAACATAGTATTGAAAGTCCTGACCAGAGCAATCAGGCTAGAGAAAGAAATACAAAAAGCATCCAAATAGGAAGAGAGAAAGCCAAACTATTTCTGTTTGCAAATAACATAATTCTATATCTAGAAAACCCTGTAGTTTCAGGTACAAAGCTTCTTTAGTTAACAAACAACTTCAGCGAATTTTCAAGATACTAAATCAATGTGCAAAGATCACTAACATTTCTCTACACCAATGATAACCACACTGACAGCAAAATCAGAAAGGCCATCCCATTCACAATTGCCACAAAAATGATAAAATACCTGGAAATGCAGCTCACCAGGGAGGTGAAAGAGCTCTACAGTGAGAATTACAAAACACTGCTCAAATAAATCAGAGAAGACACAAACAAATGGAAAACCACCTCATGCTCATGGATAGGAAGATCCAATATAACTAAAATGGCTATACTTCACAAAGCAATTGACAGATTTAATGCTATTTCCATCAAACTGCCAATAAAATTTTTTACAGAGCTAGAAAAAACTATTTTAAAATTCCTATAGGCTGGGTGCAGTGGCTCACGCCTGTAATCCCAGCACTCTGGGAGGCCGAGGGCTGCAGATCATGAGGTCAGGAGATCGAGACCATCCTGGCCAACATGGTGAAACTCCTTCTCAACTAATTTTTTAATAGCTGGGTGTAGTGGCAAGTGCTTGTAATCCCAGCTACTCGGGAGGCTGAGGCAGGAGAATCCATTGAACCAGGTAGTCAGAGGTTGCAGTGAGCTGAGATTGCACCACTGCACTCCAGCCTGATGACAGAGTGACATTCCATCAAAAAAAAATTATATATATGAAACCAAAAAGGAGCACACATAGTCAAGGCAATCCTAAGCAAAAAAGAACAAAGCTGCAGGCATCAGGTTGCCTGGCTTCAAATTACACTACAGGGCTATAGTAACGAAAACAGCATAATATTGATAAAAACAGACACATAGACAAATGGAGCAGAATAGAGAGCCCAGAAACAAGGCTGCACATCTATGCCATGTGATAATTGACAAGGCTGACAAAAACAAGCAATGAGAAAAAGATTATTTATTCAATAAGTGGTGCTGGAATAATTGGCTGGCAACATGTGGAAGATTGAAGCTGGACCCCTTATTTACATCATATACAAAAAAAAATCAACTCAAGACTGATTGAAGACTTAAATATAAAATCTTTATGTATAAAAACCATGAAAGACATTCCAGGCAATACCATCCTGGATATAGGAATGGGCAAAGATTTCATGATAGAAAGACCAAAAGCAACAGCAAGAAAAGCAAAAATTAACAAGTAGGATTTAATTAAAGTAAAGAGATTTTGCATAGCAGAAAAAAAAAACTATTAACAGAGTAAACAGAAAACCTATGGAGTGGAAAAAAAATATTTGTAAACTATCCATCTAACAAAGGTCTAATATCTAGCATCTATAAGGAACTTAAATTTACAAAAGAAAAACAACCCCATTAAAAAGTGGGCAAAGACATGAACGGACAGTTTTCGAAAGAAGACATACATGAGGCCAACAAGTGTATGAGAAAAAGCTCAGAATCAATGATAGTTAGAGAAATGAAAATTAAGTGATCCTTGTGCCTCAGTCTCCCAAATAGCTGGGACTACAAGCAAGCACCACAATGCCCAGCTAATTTTTGAATTTTTAGTAGAGATGGGGTTTTGCCATGTTTCCATGGCTGGTCTCGAACTCCTGAGCTTAAGTGATCTGCCTGCCTCAGCCTCCCAAAGTTTTGGGATTACAAGTGTGAACCACCATGCCTGGACTCCATTATTCAATCTAAGAACTGCATGCAGAAATGTGTTCAGGTTTTAAAATTTTATTCACTTCTGCACTGATACTTTCAAACCAAATTTTATAGCAGCATCATTTACAGTAAAAAATTTAAAAAGAAATCCAGATATCTTCTAAGAGTCAAACAGATGAAGAAAATATGGTATATACACACAACAGAATATTATTTATCCTTAAAATGAATGTGGGGGGGAGGAGCCAAGAAGGCCGAATAGGAACAGCTCCGCTCTACAGCTCCCAGTGTGAGTGACGCAGAAGACGGGTGATTTCTGCATTTCCAACTGAGTTACCAGGTTCAACTCACTGGGGAGTGCCAGACAGTGGGTGCAGTGCACCGTGCATGAGCCGAAGCAGGGCAAGGCATTGCCTCACCAGCGAAGTGCAAGGGGTCAGGGAATTCCCTTTCCTAGTCAAAGAAAGTGGTGACAGATGGCATCTGGAAAATCGGGTCACTCCCAACCTAACACTGTGCTTTTCCAACAGGCTTAAAAAATGTCACACCAGGAGATTATATCCTGCACCTGGCTCAGAGAGTCCTACGTCCACGGAGCCTCACTCATTGCTAGCACAGCAGTCTAAGATCAAACTGCAAAGTGGCAGTGAGGCTGGGGGAGGGATGCCCGCCATTGCTAAGGCATGAGTACGTAAACAAAGTGGCCAGGAAGCGGGAACTGGGTGGAGCCCACCGCAGCTCAAGGAGGCCTGCCTGCCTCTGTAGGCTCCACCTCTGGGGGCAGGGCACAGACAAACAAAAAGACAGCAGTAACCGCTGCAGACTTAAATATCCCTCTCTGACAGCTTTGAAGAGTGTAGTGGTTCTCCCAGCTTGCAGCTTGAGATCTGAGAATGGACAGACTGCCTCCTCAAGTGGGTCCCTGACTCCTGAGTAGCCTAACTGGGAGGCACCCCCAAGTATGGTAGGACTGAAACCTCACACAGCCTGGTACTCTTTTGAGACAAAATTTCCAGAGGAACAATCAGGCAGCAGCATCTGCA
The DNA here is from genome assembly GCF_000001405.40 of Homo sapiens. Classification (NCBI taxonomy): domain Eukaryota; kingdom Metazoa; phylum Chordata; class Mammalia; order Primates; family Hominidae; genus Homo; species Homo sapiens. The sequence continues at coordinate 12,322,810 of NC_000022.11, read as the reverse complement.
GTTCACCAATATCTGCTGTTCTGCAGTGAGCGCTGCTGATAAGCAGGCAAACAGGGTCTGGAATGGACCTCCAGTAAACTCCAACAGACCTGCAGCTGAGGGTCCCAACTGTTAGAAGGAAAACTAATAAACAGAAAGGACATTCACACCAAAAACCCATCTGTACATAACCATCATCAAAGCCCAAGTTAGATAAAACCACAAAGATGGGAAACAAATAGAGCAGAAAAACTGGAAACTCTAAACTTCAGAGCACCTCTCCGCCTCCAAAGGAACACAACTCCTTACCAGCAATGGAACAAAGCTGGATGGAGAATGACTTCGATGAGTGGAGACAAGAAGGCTTCAGATGATCAAACTTCTCTGAGCTACAGGAGGAGATTCGAACCAATGGCAAAGAAGATAAAAACTTTGAAAAAAAAATAGATGAATGGATCACTAGAATAACCAATGCAGAGAAGTCCCTAAAGGACCTGATGGAGCTGAAAACCAAGGCATGAGAACTACGTGATGAATGCAGAAGCCTCAGTAGCCGATGCGATCAACTGGAAGAAAGGGTATCAGTGATGGAAGACAAAAGGAATGAAATGAAGCGAGAAGAGAAGTTTAGCAGAAAAGAATAAAAAGAAATGAACAGAGCCTCCAAGAAATACGGGACTATGTAAAAAGACCAAATCTATGTCTGATTGGTGTACCTGAAAGTGACGGGTAGAATGGAACCAAATTGGAAAACACTCTGCAGGATATTATCCAGGAGAACTTCCCCAATCTAGCAAGACAGGCCAACATTCAAATTCAGAAAATACATAGAAGGCCACAAACGTACTCCTCGAGAATAGCAACTCCAAGACACATAATTGTCAGATTCACCAAAGTTGACATGAATGAAAAAATGTTAAGGGCAGCCTGAGAGAAAGGTTGGGTGACCCACAAAGGGAAGCCCATCAGACTAACATCTGGGGGCCAATATTCAACATTCTTAAAGAAAAGAATTTTCAACCCAGAATTTCATTTCCAGCCAAACTAAGCTTCATAAATGAAGTAGAAATAAAATACTTTACAGACACGCAAATGGTGAGAGATTTTGTCTCCAACAGGTCTGCCCTAAAAGAGCTCCTTAAGCTGGTTTTTTGAAAGGATCAAAAAAAGATAGACCACTAGCAAGACTAATAAAGAAAAAAAGAGAAGAATCAAATAGACACAATAAACAATGATAAAAGGGATATCACCACCGATCCCATAGAAATACAAACTACCATCAGAGAATACTACAAACACCTCTGTGCAAATAAACTAGAAAATCTAGAAGAAATTGATAAATTAGTCGACACATACACTCTCCCAAGACTAAACCAGGAAGAAGTTGAATCTCTGAATACAACAAAAACAGGAGCTGAAGTTGTGGCAATAATCAATAGCTTACCAACGAAAAGGAGTCCAGGACCAGATGGATTCACAGCCGAATTCTACCGGAGGTACAAGGAGGAACTGGTACCATTCCTTCTGAAACTATTCCAATCAATAGAAAAAGAGTGAATCCTCCCTAACCCATTTTATGAGGCCAACATCATCCTGATACCAAAGCCTGGCAGAGACACAACCAAAAAAGAGAATTTTAAACTAACATACTCGATGAACATTGATGCAAAAATCCTCAATAACATACTGACAAACCGAATCCAGCAGCACATCAAAAAGCTTATCCAACATAATCAAGTGGGCTTCATTCTCAGGATGCAAGGCTGGTTCAATATAGGCAAATCAATACATGTAATCCAGCATAGAAACAGAACCAAACACAAAAACGACATGATTATCTCAATAGATGAAGAAAAGGCCTTTGACAAAATTCAACAACACTTCATACTAAAAACTCTCAATAAATTAGGTATTGATGGGACGTATCTCAAAATAATAAGAGATATCTATGCCAAACCCATTCATACTGAATGGGCAGAAACTGGAAGCATTCCCTTTGAAAACTGGCACAAGACAGGGATGCTCTCTCTCACCACTCCTATTCAACATAGTGTTGGAAGTTCTGGCCAGGGCAATCAGGCAGGAGAAGGAAATAAAGGGTATTCAATTATGAAAAGAGGAAGTCAAATTGTCCCTGTTTGCAGACAACATGATTGTATATCTAGAAAACCCCATTGTCTCAGCCCAAAATCTCCTTAAGCTGATAAGCAAATTAAGCAATGTCTCAGGATACAAAATCAACATACAAAAATCACAAGCATTCATATACACCAACAACAGAAAAACAGAGAGCCAAATCATGAGTGAACTCCCATTCACAATGTCTTCAAAGAGAATAAAATACCTAGGAATCCAACTTACAAGGGATGTGAAGGACCTCTTCACGGAGAACTACAAACCACTGCTCATTGAAATAAAAGAGGATACAAACAAATGGAAGAACATTCCATGCTCATGGGTAGGAAGAATCAATATCGTGAAAATGGCCATACTGCCCAAGGTAATTGATAGATTGAATGTCATCCCCATCAAGCTACCAATGACTTTCTTCCCAGAATTGGAAAAAACTACTTTAAAGTTCCTATGGAACCAAAAAAGAGCTGGCATCGCCAAGTCAATTTTAAGCCAAAAGAACAAAGCTGGAGGCATCACACTACCTGACTTCAAACTATACTACAAGGATACAGTAACCAAAACAGCATGGTACTGGTACCAAAACAGAGATATAGACCAATGGAACAGAACAGAGCCCTCAGAAATAATGCCGCATATCTACAACTATCTGATCTTTGACAAACATGAGAAAAACAAGAAATGGGGAAAGGATTCCCTATTTAATAAATGGTGCTGTGAAAACTGGCTAGCCATATGTGGAAAGCTGAAATTGGATCGCTTCCTTACACCTTATACAAAAATCAATTCAAGATGGATTAAAGACTTACATATTAGACCTAAAACCATAAAAAACCTAGAAGAAAACCTAGGCATTACCATTCAGAACATAGGCATGGGCAAGGACTTCATGTCTAAAACACTAAAAGCAATGGCAACAAAAGCCAAAATAGACAAATGGGATCTAATTAAACTAAAGAGCTTCTGCATAGCAAAAGAAACTACTGTCAGAGTGAACAGGCACCTACAAAATGGGAGAAAAATTTCACAACCTACTCATCTGACAAAGGGCTAATATCCAGAATCTACAATGAACTCAAACAAATTTACAAGAAAAAAACAAACAACCCCATCAAAAAGTGGGCGAAGGACATGAGCAGACACTTCTCAAAAGAAGACATTTATGCAGCCAAAAAACACATGAAAAAATGCTCACCATCACTGGCCATCAGAGAAATGCAAATCAAAACCACAATGAGATACCATCTCACACCAGTTAGAATGGCAATCATTAAAAAGTCAGGAAACAACAGGTGCTGGAGAGGATGTGGAGAAATAGGAACACTTTTACACTGTTGGTTGGACTGTAAACGAGTTCAACCATTGTGGAAGTCAGTGTGGCTATTCCTCAGGGATCTAGAACAAAAAATACTATTTGACCCAGCCATCCGATTATTGGGTGTATAACCAAAGGACTAAAATCATGCTGCTATAAAGACACATGCACAGGTATGTTTACTGCAGCATTATTCACAATAGCAAAGACTTGGAACCAACCCAAATGTCCAACAATGATAAGAAAATGATAAGGATTAAGAAAATATGGCACATATACACCATGGAATACTATGCAGCCATAAAAAATAATGAGTTCATGTCCTTTGTAGGGACATGGATGAAATTGGAAATCATCATTCTCAGTAAACTATCGCAAGAACAGAAAACCAAACACCGCATAATCTCATTCATAGGTGGGAATTGAACAATGAGAACACATGGACACAGGAAGGGAAACATCACAGTCTGGGGACTGTTGTGGGGTGGGGGGAGGGGGGAGGAATAGCATTCGGAGATATATCTAATGTTAGATGACGACTTAGTGGGTGCAGTGCAGCAGCATGGCACATGTATACATATGTAACTAACCTGCACATTGTGCACATGTACCCTAAAACTTAAAGTATAATAATAATAAAAAAATTTAAAAAAAACAAAAACAAAGATGAGAAATAACCTGTAGTTATATGACTTAAGTTTAGAGTGAGTTTTATTTTTTGCTCTGCTTGATAAGTATTAGGATAATGCAAGTGTATACTATTCAGTTTAAATAGATAAAGAATTATTTAATCATAGCTTCAACGGATGAATGTTCTTTTTGTTCATCTGAATAACTAAAAATAATATTGCTAGTGTAAAATCACTCTCATATTGCTTTGATTTTTAAGGTCAACCTCGTTTAAATAAAGAGAAAAACAATGTTAAAAAAAAAAGAGCTCCTTAAAGAAGCGCTAAACATGGAAAGGAACAACTGGTACCAGCCACTGCAAAAACATGCCAAATTGTAAAGACCATTGAGGCTACAAAGAAACTGCATCAACTAACGAGCAAAATAACCAGCTGACATCTTAATGACAGGATCAAATTCACAAATAACTATATTAACCTTAAATGTAAATGGGCTAAATGCTCCAATTATAAGGCACAGACTGGCAAATTGGATAAAAAGTCAAGACCCATCAGTGTGCTGCACTCAGGAAACCCATCTCATGTGCAGAGACAAACATAGGCTCAAAATAAAGGGATGGAGGAAGATCGACCAAGCAAATGGAAAACAAAAAAGGCAGGGGTTGCAATCCTAGTCTCTCATAAAACAGACTTTAAACCAACAAAGATCAAAGGAGACAAAGAAGGCCATTACATAATGGTAAAGGATCAATTCAACAAGAAGAGCTAACTATCCTAAATATATATGCACCCAATACAAGATCACCCAGATTCATAAAGCAAGTCCTTAATGACATACAAAGGGACTTAGACTCCCACACAATAATAATGGGAGATTTTAATACCCCACTGTCAACATTAGACAGATCAATGAGACAGAAAGTTAACAAGGATACCCAGGAATTGAAGTCAGCTCTGCACCAAGCGGACCTGATAGACATCTACAAAACTCTCCACCTCAAATCAATAGAATATACATTCTTTTCAGCACCACACCACACCTATTACAAAATTGAGTACATAGTTGGAAGTAAGCATTCCTCAGCAAATGTAAAAGAACAGAAATTATAACAAACTGTCTCTCACACCACCGTGCAATCAAGCCAGAACTCAGGATTAAGAAACTCACTCAAAACCACTCAACTACATAGAAACTGAACAACATGCTCCTGAATGATTACTGGGTACATAACGAAATGAGGGCAGAAATAAAGATGTTCTTTGAAACCAATGAGAACAAAGAGACAACATACCAGCATATCTGGGACACATTCAAAGCAGTGTGGAGAGGGAAATTTGTAGCACTAAATGCCCACAAGAGAAAGCAGGAAAGATCCAAAATTGACACCCTAATATCACAATTAAAAGAACTAGAAAAGCAAGAGCAAACACATTCAAAAGCTAGCAGAAGGCAAGAAATAACTAAGATCAGAACAGAACTGAAGGAAATAAAAACACAAAAAACCCCTCAAAAAATTAATGAATCCAGGAGCTGGTTTTTTGAAAGGATCAACAAAATTGATAGACCACTAGCAAGACTAATAAAGAAGAAAAGAGAGAAGAATCAAATAGACGCAATAAAAAATGATAAAGGGATATCTCCCCTGATCCCACAGAAATACAAACTACCATCAGAGAATAATTTAAACAGCCCTACACAAAGAAACTAGAAAATCTAGAAGAAATGGATAAATTCCTCGACACATACATCCTCTGAAGACTAAACCAGGAAGGAGCTGAATCTCTGAATAGAACAATAACAGGCTCTGAAATTGAGGCAATAATCAATAGCTTACCAACCAAAAAGTCCAGGACCAGATGGATTCAGTCGAATTCTACCATAGGTACAAGGAGGAGCTAGTACCATTCCTTCTGAAACTATTCCAATCAATAGAAAAAGAGTGAATCCTCCCTAACTCATTTTATGAGGCCAGCATCATCCTGATACCAAAGCCTGGCAGAGACATAACCAAAAAAGAGAATTTTAGACCAATATCCTTGATGAACATTGATGCAAAAATCCGCAATAAAATACTGGCAAACCAAATCCAGCAGCATATCAAAAAGCTTATCCATCATGATCAAGTGGGCTTCATCTCTGGGATGCAACAGTGGTTCAACATATGCAAATCAATAAATGTAATCCAGCATAGAAACAGAACTAAAGACAAAAACCTCATGATTATCTCAATAGATGCAGAAAAGGCCTTTGACAAAATTCAACAACATTTCATGCTAAAAACTCTCAATAAATTAGGTATTGATGGGACGTATCTCAAAATAATAAGAGCTATCTATGACAAACCCACAGCCAATATCATACTGAATAGGCAAAAACAGGAAGCATTCCTTTTGAAAACTGGCACAAGACAGGGATGCCCTCTCTCACCACTCCTATTCAACATAGTGTTGGAAGTTCTGGCCAGGGCAATCAGGCAGGAGAAGGAAATAAAGGGTATTCAATTACGAAAAGAGAAAGTCAAATTGTCCCTGTTTGCAGACGACATGATTATATATCTAGAAAACCCCATCATCTCAATCCAAAATCTCCTTAATCTGATAAGCAACTTCAGCAAAGTCTCAGGATACAAAATCAATGTGCAAAAATCACAAGCATTCTTATACACCAATAACAGACAAACAGAGAACCACATCATGAGTGAACTCCCATTCACAATTACTTCAAAGAGAATAAAATACCTAGGAATCCAACTTACAAGGGATGTGAAGGAACTCTTCAAGGAGAAATACAAACCACTGCTCAGTGAAGTAAAAGAAGATACAAACAAATGGAAGAACATTCCATGCTCATGGGTAGGAATATGGAAGAATCAATATCATGAAAATGTCCATACTGCCCAAGGTAATTTATAGATTCAATGCCATTCTCATCAAGCTACTAATGGCTTTCTTCACAGAATTGAAAAAATACTACTTTAAAGTTCATTTGGAACCAAAAAAGAGCTGGCATCTCCAAGTCAATCCTAAGCCAAAAAACAAAGCTGGAGGCATCACACTACCTGACTTCAAACTATACTACAAGGCTACAGTACCCAGTAACCAAAGCAGCATTGTACTGGTACCAAAACAGAGATGTAGAACACTGGAACAGAACAGAACCCTCAGAAATAATGCCACATATCTACAACTATCTGATCTTTGACAAACCTGAGAAAAACAAGAAATGGGGAAAGGATACCCTATTTAATAAATGGTGCTGGGAAAACTGGCTAGCCATATGTAGAAAGCTGAAACTGGATCCCTTCCTTACACCTTATACAAAAATCAATTCAAGATGGATTAAAGACTTACATATTAGACCTAAAACCATAAAAAAACTAGAAGAAAACCTAGGCAATACCATTCAGGACATAGGCATGGGCACGGACTTCATGTCTAAAACACCAAAAACAATGGCAACAAAAGACAAAATTGACAAATGGGATCTAATTAAACTAAAGCGTTTCTGCACAGCAAAAGAAACTACCATCAGAGTGAACAGGCAACCTGCAGAATGAGAGAAAATTTTTGCAACCTACTCATCTGACAAAGGGCTAATATCCAGAATCTGTAAGGAACTCAAACAAATCAAGAAGAAAAAAACAAACAACCCCATCAAAAAGTGGGCGAAGGATATGAACAGACACTTCTCAAAAGAAGACATTTATGCAGCCAAAAAACACGTGAAAAAATGCTTATCATCACTGGCCATCAGAGAAATGCAAATCAAAACCACAAAGAGATACCATCTCACACCAGTTAGAATGGCGATCATTAAAAAGTCAGGAAACAACAGGTGCTGGAGAGGATGTGGAGAAATAGGAACACTTTTACACTGTTGGTGGGACTGTAAACTAGTTCAACCATTGTGGAAGTCAGTGTGGCGATTCCTCAGGGATCTAGAACTAGAAATACCATTTGACCCAGCCATCCCATTACTGGGTATATACCCAAAGGACTATAAATCATGCTGCTATAAAGACACATGCACACTTATGTTTATTGCAACACTATTCACAATAGCAAAGACTTGGATCCAACCTGAATGTCCAACAACGATAGACTGGATTAAGAAAATGTGGCACATATACACGATGGAATACTATGCAGCCATAAAAAATGATGAGTTCATGTCCTTTGTAGGGACATGGATGAAATTGGAAACCATCATTCTCAGCACACTAGCTCAAGGACAAAAATCCAAACACCGCATGTTCTCCCTCATAGGTGGGAATTGAACAATGAGAACACATGGATACAGGAAGGGGAACATCACACACCATGGACTGTTGTGGGTTAGGGGAAGGGGGCAGGGATAGCATTAGGAGATATACCTAATGCTAAATGATGAGTTAATGGGTGCAGCACACCAACATGGCACATGTATACATATGTAACAAACCTGCACGTTGTGTACATGTACCCTAAAACTTATAGTATAATAATAATAAAATAAAATAAAAATATATAAAAGAGAGGAAGTAAGCCATGCTGATTCCTGATGAGAAAGCATTCCAAGCAAAGGGGACCACACATGCAAAGGCCCTGATGCAGAAGCACAACTGCCTGGTGTCTTTGAAGATTGAAAAATAGAGGGGAGACTGACTGGACTAGACATCAGAGAAGTGTCAGGGGACAAGATGGTTTAAAACATTCCTAGCCATGGAAGGCTTTAAGCAGATGAAAACATTATTTGCCTTATGCTTTGAAAAGACTTACTCTGGATCACCTGAGGTCAGGAGTTTGAGACCTGCCTGGCCAACATGGCAAAACCCCATCTCTATTAAAAACACAAAAATTAGCAAGGCTTGGTTGTGCATGCCTGTAGTCCCAGCTACTTGGGAGGCTGAGGCAGGAGAATCACTTTAACCCAGGAGTTAGAGGTTGTAGTGAACCCAGATTCCACCACTGCACTCCAGCCTGGGCGACAGAGGAGACTCCGTCTCAAAAAAAAAAATAAATAAATAAATAAGGACTTACTCTGGTTGCTCAGTGAAGAAAAAAGTACAGGGAGAAAGAGAAAGTGGGAGAGGAGTTGGGAGGCTATTTCCATAATCCATGAAAGCAATGACGTAAAGTGAAGCAGGGTGTACATAATGGGTGTGGCAAGGGAAGCTCAGATTCTTAATACAGTTCAACAGTGTATGCCGATATGAGGTGTAAGAAACAAAGAGGGGTCAAGACAAGTTTTCTGGCCTAATGGCTGGTACACTGGAAGTGCTATTTACTGAGACGGAGACGACTGAGGAGTGTTGGGCCCAGGGGTTGAAGGTGGAGGATCAAGAATTCCCTTATGGATGTGTGGTAGTTGAGTTGTCTATTAGTCTTCCAAGTGGTGATAATCGGCAGATAATTAGATATGAGTCTAAATTTTAGAGGAGAGGTAGGAGCTGGAAATATGTGTTCATGGACCACGCACATATACATGGAATTTAATGCCATTGGGCTTCATGAGATCACAGAGGCAGGAGTGCACCAAGAAAAACGGTTGAGAATGGTTAAAAGGTAAATGTTCCTTCTACATTTTGAATTTATAGAAATAATGACACAGTAGCCAGTTGCTGAAACGCTACCCAGTTCAGAGTAAAACAAATTTCCTATTTTATCAAATCATTGAATGCCATTTAAAATTCATAATACTTGCAGAGATCCCAAATATCTTAATAAAGATGAAAGTCCAAGTTCACATTGGTGGCCTAGACTCTGCCTTCCCTGATCGTCTATTTAAAAATAACAATAATGATAATAATAAGAAGAAATATTCATGGATCACTAGATATGGTGAAATACACTCAAAGGTAGATTCATTTCTTTTCTACTATACCCTTGTAACTATCAGTCTATAAAATAGTTTTATTAGAAAGGCACAGTCACCCTCAAGCCAATAGCAGCTTATAAACACGGGGCAAGGAGCCTGGTGTGGGGAGGCTGAGAAATAATTGAGAGAACCAGTAGATATGAAGCTAACAACACTGTCGAGCAGAATGAGGCAGATAAGCCAGAGGCAGTGCAAATGGCCGGTCAAGACAGGTAGACAGACAGAAGTCAGGAGTGAGAGACGGGAGGTGCAAAGTGCAATAAAACACTCAAGAACCAGTGAATCCATGGGAGCTTACTGCGAGGGGGCGCATGAAGGGAGGAGCATCCAGGTAGAGGGGAAGGAATGGAGGTGTAAGCAGGAGGCAGAAGGGCACAAGCTATTTGATATGTTTGGAGAGCGAGGTGCTTTTCTGAGGCTGAGAAAATAACTGGAAGCCAGAATCTGGAGGACTGGGTAGACCATGTTAAACAGCAAGCACTTGATTCTGCACGTGTTGGACGCCAGTGCAGGGCTTCTAAGCAAGGCAGTGACATGATCACATCACATTTTAGGAAGGGTACAAATTAGGCATGGCCACAGGCAGGAAGACCCGAGAGATCTCTTACAGTCAGGGATAAGAGTCTAAACGACAAGGTGGCCATGAACAAAGAAAGAAGACTGAAGAGACTTTAGAGGGCAGGCCCCACGGGACCTGAGTGAAGGGGTTTGGGAGACTCACAGCTTTCTGCTGTGAAGTCAAGGATATCACAAACTATCGGAATGAAAGAAACAGTCCTAGGGCTAGGGGTAGGTGGATGAATGTGGCTCCATTTTGAACAAGAGGAGAAAATTCAGGTAATTCATTTTGATTGATCAAGCAAAATAATTTGCAGCTGAACATTATAGAAGCAACAACAATTCTTATGATATTGGGGTATAGGAAACAGGCTCAAGAAAGCACAGTATTTCCTGTTTCTCTTCTGATTCAATAAATAATATTTTCTGTTAAGGTTTTTCATAACTGTTATTTTAATTAATCAAAAGGAGACAAGATAAATTTGAAATTAAAAGCATAAGAAAATCAGTTGTCTTTTTAGAAAAGGTGAGTCAGTATTTCCTATGGTCTTAAATCATCCTTCAAATAATGGTCCATGAAACAAATGAGATCCTACTTATCTAGCCTTTTCCTTGATAGATTAAAAACTGTACCAAAATCTTACTATATTGCAAAGACACTAGTTCACTCAATTGAGAATCCTCAGTATACAAACATATAAATCAAGGGAACTTTAAAACCAATCATTGTGTTCAAAATGGGAAGATTATTCCAAATTTTTTCTACATATTTTAGAATAATTTCACAGTTAAACACCCTGTAGCTTATAAAATCATTATCCAGTATTTAATAAAGTATATCTATAACAATATCAACATTGGAATTTAACAGTTTACAAAGCACTTTTGATACATCACATTTACATGAAGGCGGCAATGAGTTCAGTACATTCATGCAGATTAGAAAACAGTAGTTTTTGAAGATTGTATTTGTTCATGTAAGTCAGAAGGTTTGAACTATTTCCTACCCCTGCTATGGGTTTAAGCCTAAGAAATGTTATTCATTATGATTTGGTCTTTAAATAAATCACGAAGGTAGAGGGTAGAGCACACCCCATGAATGCATTGAGGTGCCGTAAGGCTCCAACGCCAGAGGCGGTAGGTTGGAATTTAGTTCAATCACGAATTTGTTATGAGAACTCTGACAAGCTTCAGCTCTAAAGTAAGCTTGGAAACACAAAGAAACTCTGCTAAAAATACTGAACGCAGACACACACACACACACTCCTCTCTTTTAAGACTGGCATAGAAGATGTAAGTGTACCAACAAGCAACCTCCAAAGAGCAAATGAAACAGAAAATTCAAATGAGTGCCTGGTAGGAGTTGTAACTTCAACAAAGTGCCTCTCATATCTGCCTCATAAACCCGTACTCATTTTTCACAACTAACTCAAATAGCACCTCCTCAGTGACACCTTCCCTGTTCTGCCTACAGATATATCTGCAGACCTAGTTTATCCTCTCGCCCAGAACACAGGGCATCTTATACAGGGGGCTCTATCTACAAGGGGCTCTATGCTTTGACAAGAACTGTGAACCTATGGGCAGCAGTTTTTCAATTCATGTTTGTGGCTCTCATTACAAATGTCCTGCCTCAGGCACCCAGCAGGTGGTAATAAATGCTGGTTGAACACTAAAACCTTGGAATGCTACATCATTATTCTAAAGGATAGTCATTTTTTAAAACATTTTGGAAGTTCTTTTGAAACTGACTTTTTAGATTATGAAAATATCTCAGTGATAGGTTTTGATTTTCCAAGTTAGACCTTATTTTATTTTAGAAACCGTCAAAGTTATACAAAACCAAGCATGTGTCTCTGTGCATTTTGTTTTCTCTCCTCCCTTAATGGTAAGGAAGGGTTTCATCTCTTTTATAGGCCAAATGCTCCACAAATGAATGTGTTAACGAATGAACAAATTAATAAATGGCAAGAATGAGAGCTCAAACTGCATAAAAGTATACTTACTTAAAAACGAGATGTGACGATTGCTAACATGTCATAACCAGACTCTGTCCTGACTTCGGCAAGCCACAACTTTGACAATAAAGAGGAAAGAGGATCAAGTCCCTAAATACCGCAGGTGCACTAAGACCTTCTCACGTGCCCGAAGAAGATACACTTGCAGAGGAGAAATGATGATGCAGAGGCCTGCTCCGAGATGCAGGAGGAAGTTTAATTGCCTGTGAATTTGACTGGAATGGAAGTCAAACGAGGTTTGAAAGGAAATAGAGATTGTTAAACTCCTGACTAGGCGATAACTGCCGTCCTTCTCTTCTATCTGTCCCTGTTACTAGGCAATAACTGCCCTCCTTCTCTTCTATCTGCCCCTGTGACTAGGCGATAACTGCCGTCCTTCTCTTCTATCTGCCCCTGTGACTAGGCGATAACTGCCCTCCTTCTCTTCTATCTGTCCCTGTGATTAGGCGATAACTGCCCTCCTTCTCTTCTATCTGCCCCTACCTTGGGCCCCACATGACTCAGCACTAAAGTGCCTTGAGCAGGCTCCAGCCCAAAAGTGGCCTCCACGGGCACCACTTCCCTCTCTGCTGTCCTGCCTTGCTTTCCTCCTGGCAGGGAAGAAGGAAGGAAAGAAGACCCTGACCTGGAATCATACACATCATCGCAATTCATCCACACCACAGTCCTGTAAGGTATGTGCCATTGTACTCAGAAAACTGAGGCTCAAAGAGATTGAGCAACTTATCTAAGACCTCACAGGTCCTGAGAGCAGAGCCTGGATTTCAAACACCTGGGAGACTCTGAAATCTATGTTAGCTCTTCTATATATGGACCCAAAATGCAGCTGTACACCAGCAAGACTGACTTCCTCTTGTGGCTTATCACTATCTCTGAATATAAGAATCTTCAAAATGCTTTATAAACAATAGTAGCATCATGGGAATAAGTTCGCAAGTTCCCAGAATTATTGTTTTAGATGCACTTGAACTTTTTCTCCTTGTATAGAGTCAGGAATAAGGAAAAAGGATCCAAAGGAGAAGGAGAAAAATAAAACGGGACTGAGCCTTATACTTCTGGACCAGAACAGATAATGTTGGGATTTTCCTTCCTTTTTTTCCAGACAAATCCAATAAAGACGTCTGTTTCTGTTACCTAAAACCAACTTGAAAAGTTTGCTCCCTCCTACCTTAAGCGGCTTTGTATAGAGCCCACAGTTGAACGTTGGTTCCAATGGCAAAGGTTAATTTCAAAGTTTTTATAGTGTTATTCAAAGCACGTTTGATTTCAGCCTTGGCAACCATGGGCAGAATGTCAGCAATGCTCCCTCTATTAGCTATTGGAGAGAAAACACTGTGAAACTCTAAGACCTTGGTTATTGGGCCAATGAAACATTTATGCCCTGATCAGATGGAGGAAAACTTCAGCAGGGTTAGTGAGACACCTTCCGAGTGTACCAATGAAGCTCTTGCCTGCTGTTACAGATAAATGACTTTCATTTCACTATTGGCTTGTGCTTGAGAAGGTTATTCAATTGATTCCAGTTTTTTGCAATGCCTTGAAGGCAAATAATGTTGTAGCATCCACTGTCCTCATAATACACTGTTTCTTTTCTAAGGAAGGTTGTTGTCATAATACCCTAGATATCAACAGAAAATATTCCACTTCTTATCATATATTAATTTGGCTCTGGAATAAGTAAATGTAACTACCAGAATGCTAATGAGGATGTTACGCTGATGTTTATTTGTGTGTTCTAATCTGTAGATAAACAGCAAGATCTCTTATAATTCATGATTCCAAGTCTCAGGCCACAGCAGGACAAGCATCAAAACATCTATTCTCAATTCGGAGTTGAGATTTCTAATAAGAATTATATTTTATCCATAATCATAAAATAGCACCAGAAAAAGTCAATATCTAAAAATACAGATCATTGAAAAATAGATCTTTCTGCCCTTAACATAAACAAACTGTAAAATCTGAAGTTAAAATTATTCCTTGTACCAGCCTCCTAATTTACCCAGAGTTAACAGAAAAGTTATAGCAGTGCATGAAGCTCTGAGGTTTTGATGGGTGTAGATATAGACATCCAATTCTGCCATTTCACACTAGTCAGAATACCAGTCATAGAAATCCCACAGGAAAAATCATTTCTGAAGGTATCTGGTCTTATGGATTATAAAATTAAACTTTCTTATCATTGTACCTAAACCGAAATATGCTTCCTATACAAAGAAGGTTTCTTTCAAGAGTTAAGACCACCTCCCGCCATCCCCCTTAACACACACACACACACACACACACACACACAGAGAGAGAGAGAGAGAGAGAAAGAGAGAGAGAGAATTGAGAGCATTAGTGGTTTTCTCCCTTAGACTGATTTTTTCTTGCTGTTATTTTTAGCCACTTTGTTAACGGTGGGGTTAAAGGGCAGGATAGATGTAACACCCATTTAACATACATGTTGCAACATCAGAGATGCTAGTCTTCGTTAAAAATACTAGTTCTAAATTCCTTCTAAAATATATTTTTAAAAATCAGTACACTTGGTACCTTGGAAATGCTGAAATGTTATCATGAATGCTGGTTATTTGTTATGAGTCAACTGACTATTATCTTCAATATAAACTATAATTTACTGGTCTGAACACTCTTCCTATCTTACCTGTATATACTCAAAGGGAGTAACTTCTCATGTTTAGCAAATTGTTCTTTAGGTAATTTGTTCTTTAGCTTTTTTGTACAAAAGTACAAAATAGTTATCACAGCAAACTTTCCAGTATTTATTATTTTGAAGGTATATATTTTGGAGTGAACTTTTTTTTTTGCCATGTCAGGCTTGAGCAGGATAGCAAATATATAAATTGAGCTCTCTAATTATAATCTCAATATATGAATTCTTGCTAATTAAAATACTTTGCACAAGCAAAAACAATTGCCACGTATGTGTTTAGGAGGTAGTTAAGTAACTCCATATAAAAATAAGTGCACTTTCCCCTCCTTTCTTCAGTGACTAGAAAACTTCCATACTTTTAAAATAATCAAATAATAATTTAGAGAGCAACAGCCCTCAACTCTTTGCTGGTGCTTATCACACTGCCTTTCTTCACTCCATTCTTAGCTCTGCTAGTTTCTTCTTGTCTGTAATGATAATAAGGGAATGTGGGTGGGTCAGCACTTCTGTGCCTTTCCAAATTTACCTTCCAAAAAGCCAACCAAATAAACAACCAAAAAATTGTGCAACAAAACACAAATAGCATTCCAACAGCTTGGCAAGTGATGCATTCACCTGAGATTGAGTGGTTTTAGGCGGTCAGTAACAAAATGCTTCTTTGCTGTCTCAGTAGAAAGGCAACAAATTCTTCAAAGAAACCAAGAAGGTTACTACCTTGACAACGTCTCTCATTACCGTCCTCCTCTTATGTCCTTTCTCTCCACATTATCTGTTGTGTGTCCACTATAGAAGGCTACAAAACATACAGCAGAAAGGATGGCTTGAAGGCAATTGGTGTTTGTAAATAAATTCACAACAAGGTCCAAGCTGAAGAGGTGAACACATCAGCCGGGTGGGACAATTCTCAGCATGTGCAAACATAGGCAAATTCTAGCCTATGTTACATTGAAAACAATGTCAGTGCATTTTTTTCATGTTAAAGATTTTTTAAAAGCTAAAGCGTGTTCTTTGCTGTGCTGACCACAAACAAGTTTTAAGAGTTTCGGAAGTCTGGCAAAAATAGAAAAAAAAAAAAAAAAAAAAAGCTGAAGCAACATTGAACCGCACAATGTAAGCTTTGGGCATGCACAAATTTTCAAAACAAAGGAAGGAAATCATCCCTCTCTACAACATGGTTAGGCTGATTTTTAAGAAATAAAATGTAAGATATCAGAAAAGCAAATGTTTGGCACCTACATATCCAATATCTGGCACCGTGCAGAGTAGAAGAGTGAAAGAAATAATGAAGAACAAAGTGGTTACTTTGCTTCAGGAGTTCATGATCTATAGTTAGAAACCAATATAAACATTTTGAGTATATTTCAAAGAAAGAGAAAAGCAGGCCGGCTGTGGTGGCTTGCACCTCTAGTAATAACACTTTGGGAGGCTGAGGTGGGAAGATTGCTTGAGCTCATGAGTTTGATACCAGCCTGAGAAACATAGTAAAACCTCATATCTATAAAAAAATTAATTTAAAAAAAGGCAGAGCAAAAACAAATATGAAAGAAAACATTAGAAATCAGAGCTCGGGCAAAGAGTTCAACGTAAGCAAAGCAGCTCTGCCCTGGGGGACCTCTGGAGCATCCCGGCTTCCTGTAGAGGCCCCACCACATGGCCCTTTCCCATCACTGGGAACCGTCTTCTGTATCATGCCAGGATTTTCCCCCAAACTTCTCAACCTAATTTATTCAGCCAAAACATATATATTTCTTGAATCCTTACTAAAAGCAAGGCACTGTTCAACTTAATGAAAATATGTCAACGATATAAAACAAAAATGTTTACCCTATGCAAATTATATTCCAGTGAGAAAAGACAGATCATTAATAAAATAAATATGTAAAATATATAATATGCCAGAAGGTAATAAGTGGCACAGAGAAAAATTAAGTTTGGAAGGGAGCTCAGGAATGCTGGGAGCAGGTAGATGTGAAGGTAGTTAGAATGCTCAAGGAGGGAGTAATAGGCAGAAGAATGGCCTTTTTACATGTCCATATCCCTATATGGCAAAAAGGACTTATGGATGTGATGAAGTTATGGATCATGAGATGAGGAGATTATTCTGGATTACCCATGTTGGCCCAATGTCATCACAAGAGGACTTAAAAGCAAAAGATGGAGGCAGGAGAGTCTGAGGCAAGAAGCGTGACAGCTAGGGTCAGAATGATGTGGTTGCTGCCTGGAAGGGGGCCAGGGGCCAAGGGATGCAGGCATCCTTTAAAAGCTGGAGAAGGTAAGAAAGTGTTCTCTCTCCCCTAGAGAGAGTGTGTGTTCTTTTAGGCTACTAGAGGTGTGCTAATTTATTCCAGCAATCATAGAAAACTTATATAGATAAGGTCTCACTGAGAAGATAACATTTGAACAAAGATTCCAAGGAGGTGAGGGCACCAGCTATGCAGATATCTGGGGAAGAGCACTCGAGGAAGAAAAGGCAGGCAAACAGCAGGGTGCCTAGCCTATGTGCATGAAGTAGAGAACACTGGGAGTCAGAAGGCTAACAGGAGACAGGTCAGAGAGAGGGACTGGGTTGGGTCAACTCACACTCAGCCTCACTGGCTATTGTAAGAACTTCAAGTTATTCTGAGACACTCAGTATAGGAGAGTCTATGAATATTTATAGAAATTCTGAACGTTTACAAGATGAATAAAAGTTGTATGCTAGCAAACCTATTGGTTGGGTGGGGGGAAGCCCAGATTTGTAACATTTGCTGATTTCCACTGTGTAAATATTTCTACTGACGGTTTGACAAACACTTCATAAAATTTCTGGGTACTTAATTATCAGCTCCAGGAGAGCGCTGCATGTATGACACCACATTTGCCAATTCCACACTAGATTCTATTGGGAACAAGCTGTATGAGAGTCAACTGGTGGCAGAAATAAGGAAGTCCTCAATAAAAATCAGCATTTACTTTTGACAGATGTGAGATTCTGGAACTTATTTCTCTTTACTTGCTCTGCCTGGTGATTAAATTCTGATTTTAAAAGAAATAGTTTTAATTTCTTATCAGAATGCTGCCACCAAATAAATAAAATACGTACTTTAACTATATGCAATCTTGTCTATATTATACTGTTGTCAACAGAAACATTATCAGGGGCCAACTTCATGAAAGGAGATATGTGATAGAAGATGGAGTTGTTGGAATGGAAAAAAAAAAGTCAAATTTTACTTTGGATTAATCAGAGGGAAGAAAGCAAACAGATAGGAAAGGAAAGGCAGGCTTAGCCAAGTTGAAGAGACTGAACTCGGGGCAGTGGGAGAATAGGATCATAGTTTGAAGAGAGCTGCGAGGTTGTTTAGTCCAGGTGAGGATCATAATCCCAGAAGACCCAGTCACAAACACCATAACACTGAATGTTGAAATCCTGAAAGATTAAAATTCCTAAGGTCTAAATTCTCTTTTTTTTAATAGAGACAGAGTGAATTGGTTCATTCTCATGCTCCCAATAAAAACATACACGAGCCTGGGTAATTTATAAAAGAAAGAGGTTTAATTGACTCAGCTCAGTATGGCTGGGAAGGCTTCAGAAAACTTACAATCATGGTGAATGCAAACAAGAAGCAAGGCACCAGGAGGTGCTGAGCAAAAGGGGAAAAGCCCCTTATAAAACCTTCAGGTATCACTCACTGTCATGAGAACAGGATGGGGGTAAACACCCCCATGATTCAATTACCTCCAACTGGGTTCCTCCCATAACATGTAGGGATTATGGAAACTACATTTCAAGGTGAGATTTGGGTGGGGACACAGCCAAACCATATCATTCTGCCCCCAGCCCCTTCCAAATCTCATGTCCTTACATTTTAAAACATGATCATGCCTTTCTAACAGTCCCCCAAAGTCTTAGCTCATTCCAGCATTAACCCAAATGTCCAAGTCCAAAGTCTTATCTTAGACAAGGCAAGGCCCTTCTGCCTATGAGCATGTAAAGTCAAAATTAAGTTAGTTACTTCATAGATACAATGAGGATATAGGCATTGGGTAAATGCACCTGGTCCAAATGGGAGAAATTGGCCAAAATGAAGGGACTGCACGCCCCATGCAAGTCCAAAATTCAATGGGTCAGTCAAATCTTGAAGCTCTGAAATGATTTCCTTTGACTTCATGTCTCACATCCAGGTCATGCTGAAGCAAGAGGTGGGATCTCATGGCCTTGGGCAGCTCCACCCCTGTTGCTTTGCAGGGTACAGCCCTCCTTCTGGCTGCTTTCACAGGCTGGTGCTGAGTGTCTGTGGCTTTTCCAGGCAATACAGTGTAAGCTGTCAGTGTATCTACCATTCTGGAGTCTGGAGGATGGTGGCCCTCTTCTCTCAGCTCCACTAGGCAGTGCCCCAGTGGGGACTCTGTGGGGGCTCTAACACCACATTTCCCTTCTGCACTCACTGCCCTAGCAGAGGTTCCCCATGAGGGCTCCGTCCCCATCACAAATTTGTGCCTGAACACCCAGGCGTTTCCATGCATCCTCTGAAATTTAGGTGTAGATACCCAAACCTCAATTCTTGACTTCTGTGCACCCACAGGCCCAACGCCTCATGTAAGCTGTCAAGGCTTGGGCCTTGTACCCTCTGAAGCCATGGCCTGAGCTGGACATTGGCCCTTTAGCCATGATTGGGACACAGGGCGCCAAGTCCTGAGACTGCACAGAGCAGCAAGTCCCTGCACCGAGCCCATTAAACCATTTTTTTTCCTCCTAGGCCTCCTGGTCTGTGATGGTTTGAGTTGCTGTGAAGGTCTCTGACATTCCCTGAAGACATTTTCCCATTGTCTTGGTGATTAATATTTAGCTCCTCGTTACTTATGCAAATTTCTGCAGCTGGCTTGAATTTCTCTCCAGAAAATGGGTTTTCCTTTTCTATCTCATCATCAACCTGCAAAATTTTTAAAACTTTTATGCTTTGCTTCCTCTTGAACACTTTGCTACTTAGGAATTTATTCTGCCAGATACCCTAAACCATGTCTCTCAAGTTTAAAGTTCCACAGATTTCTAGGGCAGGGGCAAAATGCCATCAGTCTCTTTGCAGAGCAAGAGTCACCTTTATTCCAGTTCCCAACAAGTTCTTCGTCTCCATATGAGGCCACCTCAGCCTGGACTTCATTGTCCATGTCACTATCAGCATTTTCCTCAAAACCATTCTGCAAGTCTCTAGGAAGTTCCAAACTTCCTCACATTTTTCTCTCTTCTTCCGAACCCTGCAAACTGTTCAACCTCTGCCTGTTACCCAGTTCCAAATTCACTTCCACATTTTTAGATATCCTTATAGCAACGCCCCACTACCTCAGTACACATTTACTGTATCAGTCCATTCTCATGCTGCTAATAAAGATATAACCAAGCTTGGGTAATTTATAAAGTAAAGAGGTTTAATTGACTCACAGTTCATCATAGCTGGGGAGGACTCAGGAAACTTACAAGCATGATAGAATGCAAAGGGGAAGCAAGTCACCTTCACGAGGTGGCAGGAAGGAGAATCACAAGCAAAGGGGGAAAAGCTCCTTATAAAACCATCAGATCTTGTGATAACTCATTCACTATCATGAGAACAGCATGGGGGTAATTGCCTCCATGATTCAATTACCTCCCACTGGGTCCCCATCATGATATGTGAGGATTATGGGAACTACAATTCAAGATGAGATTTGGTTGGAGACACAGCCAAACCATATCATGGGGTCTCACTTTATTGCCCCGGCTGATTTCAAACTCCTGGGCTCAAGTGACCCTCCTGACTTGGCCTCCCAAAGTGCTGGGAATACAGGCATGAGCCACCATACCCAGTCCTAAAGTCTAAATTCTTAACATCTAAAATCCAGAAAATCACACTCACAGGAGAGTTGTACCAAGTTAGTTGCATCGTGTTAGGTACAACTGTTGCTTTGTTTTCTTTTTATTTGGAAATTATATATGGTTTAAGGAGGTCCATATGGGTGCCAAATCTGCAAGGGGTGGACTTGCAGGCTTAATTTCAGGTGTCAACTTGACTGGATTAAGGAATCCCTGGAAAGCTGGGAAAGCATTATTTTGGGTATGTCTGTGATGGTTTTCTCAGAAGAGATCAGTGTGTGGGTCTGAGCGGACTAGGTGAGGAAGATCTGCTGTCACTGTTTTGAATGTCTTGAATATCACAGAAGAAGTTAAAATGAAAGTAAAAAATGCACAAAATCTTGTCTGCCAAATTATGTAATCATGTACCAAGCACCTCTACAGGTAGTACCATGCTTGCCTTCACAAAATGCCTTTTGTGAGATAATAAAAATAGTTCAAAAAATTCAGTGGCCTTCTGAGCCAGACACCTCCTGGCACAGAGCTTCCTCCAGTGCTACAAGACATATTAAATCATGAACTATTCTTGATTAGGGATTTGACTGTCAAAAAAGGTAAACATGTTTATTTACCACTAAGTTTAACATAACAAAACTGGTGCATGTTTCACTTTGGCTGATGAACGGCACTTTCAAAACTGTCCCCAGTGGGTTTTTTAAATCAACTTTATACAGTTTATGCCCCCATTGGATTACAAAATTCTGTAATTTAATCTGCATGTTTATTGTTTAATAACTGGAAAAAGTGAAGAACTTTTTAAAAGCTTATTTGAAGATTTGGAGGGCTTTGCAGAGGAAAATAGATTTCAATTGGATCCCCAAACTATAATGACAAGTTTTTAATTAGGTGTGATCAAGGCTTCTAAAAGTGAAATGCAAGATGTTACCAGTAAAGTTTATATCTTCCATTCAGCCCAGCTCATTTGCCAGAAAATTCAGGTGAGTGGATTGGCCAGACTATCTGGCAAGGATGAAAATTTTAGTTTAAAAATGTGTCATTTGTCTGTATTGGCATTCCTCCCACCTGATAAAATTCCAGGAGCTTTTGATAAATTAAAACCATAATTGCCTGAAGAAGACAGAAATATTACATACTGGTTTGAAAATAATGATGTGCAAGGTAGTATAAGAAGTCATTTAGGCAACGGTGTTGCTGTTCAATCAAGAGTATTGTTTCTGCCAAATGAGTGGTCTGTATATGATGGCCTGCAAAATGGATTTCCACATACTCAAAACAATAGACAAGAATGGCATAGAAGATTGGAAAATGTAATAGGAAATACTTATGTCAGTGTGTATCAAATTATAGAAGAATTTCAAAAAGAGCAGTGTCACGTAGAAAATGAATGTGAATGTATTTTATGAGGAGAGTCAAATCCTAAAAACAAAAAAGGCAACTATTCATCGTGATGCATGACTTCAAAATATAGCTAATGATCATGAAAGTCAGCCAGCTATGATGAACTCTGCAATTGCCCATAATCTATCCATGTAATATACTTTTTATGTGTCAATTTTCTTTTTAGTTGTTTCTTTTTCCATTTTTTCCACTATTTTAAATTGTCAGCATTATTTTTTACAAGTTGCTATGCTGTGTATTTCATCTTAGTATCATTTCCAATACTGGAGGTATAAATTTTGCAAAGACTTTTAGAGAGTTCTAATTTGTTTTATGCATTTTTTTTGCAAATTTAACTCCACAAGAGTGCATTATCACAAGACTGACTTTGTGTGTAAGCATTGTACATGTACATAAAAACATTAAAGTTTCCTCAATAAATGAGAAGATATCCTTTTTGCACATTTGCATTTGGGAAAGAGAAAATTCCTCAGGGTCTCAGCTCTTTGAATGCATATTAGATGGTGACCCATCCCAGCTTTTGATGAATCTGGTCGAAAGACTTAGGTTGTCTGTCACAATATTCCAGATGACCTAAGTTATAAAGCTGAGTGCACCCAGTTACCAACCATGCTTTTATACATTTTGCTTTTTGACCCATTTCTTTACAAGTACAACTCGTCTGCTCATTACCATTATACCCGTGAGACTATCGTTAGCATACCTGAGTTTTATGCTTGCAAATATATGTATGTTATTATTGCCTATTGATTGTGTAAAGTGGCCTAGGAAGCGTTCTGTTGTGTTTTTATACGTTTCTCAAATAAATTCCATCTTAAAAATACAAATAAATGCTTTTTTGTTGTTGTTTTTAGACAGAGTCTCACTCTGTCGCCCAGGCTGGAGTGCAGTGGTGCAATCGCGGCTCACTGTAACCTCCACCTCCTGGGTTCAAGCGATTCTCCTGCCTCAGCCTCCCGAGTAACTGGGACTACAGGCACCCGTCACGATGCCTGGCTAATTTTTTGTATTTTTAGTAAAGATGGGGTTTCACCGTGTTAGCCAGGATGGTCTCCATCTCTTGAATTTGTGATCCACCCGCCTCAGCCTCCAAAAGTGCTGGGATTAAAGGCATGAGCCACCATGCGCTGCCCAATAAGTGCTTTTTAAAGAATGTGTTAATAATTTTTTTCCAGAATTGTATGTTCGAATTTTGTTTTTTTAGGATTGTAATTTTCAGGATTTTAGACTGTACAGATTTAGATCTTTTGGGACTTCAACATTTGGGATTACGATGTTTAGGATTGTGTTTTCCTGGGCTGTGGCCCAAACTCATGTGGTCCAACACTATTTCACATGAGAGGAATCAAACCACGTGCATAGATGCAATGAAGGCTTAAATAGTTGTCATGTATAGATTATATCCCAGGAAAACATGATTAAGATGATACATAGTGACTTTTTTTTTCCCAGTGAAAAAGATCCACATTCTTTTTCTTGTGTGGAATTAAACACAATTTCTGAATCAATGTAAGTGAATGCAAATCACCACGTTCACTTAGCTGATGCTCCTTTATTAACAGGGATAGAAAGGAGGTCATTCGAAGAGATGATGGCACGGGACCCAGGACCTGAGGAAGCTGCAGTGGGTGAAGGGGAGAAACAGAGGAGCAGGGGCTGGAGAAAGAGTGGGGAGTCATCAACCACCCTCCTTTCTCCTGGCGTCTGGTGTTCGGAGCCCAGAGGTATTCTCTAGGGCCTCGGAGAAGCTTCCAAGTCTGCTCATTTCTCTTTCCCCATCCCTGCTTGTATCACAAATAAAGAAATTATTGACAACTGAGTTCCTGACAAGGTGGCAGGATTTTAGGGACCCTTCACCTCGTCTGAAACTCATGAAGGTAGTGGGAATCCCATGGGTTGGTTAGCAATAGTCCCTGAGATTATTTGGTCATATAAATAATCAGAAAACTCATAGTCATCTTGCTTTTCTCATAATGCTCAGCTGGGGGATGGTGGGGGTAGGGAGGACTGGAGTGAGAAGAGATAGAACCAGAGCTGGCTTTCACGTATGGGGCTCTCCAGAGCAATCAGGCCTAAGTACAATGAAGAGGGGTTTTGAAGCCGCTCTGGCTAGGGCAGCCTGGTCTCAGGCCCCAGCTCACACCAAGCACATCACCTGTCTGACTGGGAAGCTTAAGCAATGTTTCTGTTTTTGCTTTTGTTTTCTGGTAAATAATTCAATGTCATTAGCTACATTCACAATGCTGTGCAATCATCACCACTATCCATTTCTGAAACATTCTATCATCCCAGACAGGAACTCTGTGCCCATTAGACACTAACCCCGCCCATTTCTACCTCCTGCCAGTCCTGAAAACCTCTATTCTACTTTGTGTCTCTATTAATTTGCCTGTTCCAGGTTCTTCATATAGATGGAATCACGTAGTCTGTGTTTGACGTCTCACTTAGCATAATGTTTTTAAGTTTTATCTATGTGGTAGCAAGTATCAGAATTCCCTCCCTTTTTAAAGATCACTAATATTCCATTTTATGTCTATACCACATTTTGTTTATCCATCGTCCCTCAATAGACTTTTTAGGTTGTTTCCACCTTGTGGTTCCTGTAAATAAGGCTGCTGTGATGCTGCAATGAACACAGGTGTAGCAGGCAGGTGTGGTGGCATGCGCCTGTAGTTCCTGCTACTCAGGCATCTGAGGCAGGAAGATCGCTTGAGCCCAGGAGTCCTGGGCTGCAGGGTGCTGTGTTGATCAGATGTCTGCACGAAATTAGACATTAGTACAGTGACCTCCTGGGGTAAGGGACTACCAGGTTGCCTAAGGAGGGGCGAACCGGCCTGGGTTGGAGACAAAGCAGGGCACAACTCCCAGTTTGACCAGCAGGGGGTCATGCCTGTGGACAGCCACGCAGCAGGGGGATCCTGCCCGTGGACAGCCCCGCAGCAGGGAGATCGTGCCCATGGACAGCCCCGCAGCAGGGGGATCGTGCCTGTAAACAGCCCCGCAGCAGGGGGTCATGCCTGTGGACAGCCCCTCAGCAGGGAAGTTGTGCCTCTGGACGGCCCCGCAGCAGGGGATTGTGCCTGTGGACAGCCCCGCAGCAGGGGGTCGTGCCTGTGGACAGCTCCCCAGCAGGGGGATCATGCCTATAATCAGCCCCTGCACTCCAGGCTGGGAAACAGAATGAGACCCTATTTATTAAAAAAAAAAAAAGGGGGGGTGGGATGGGGAGAGAACACAGGTGCACAAGTATCTATTTGAGTAACTGCTTTCCATTCTTTTGAAGATAGATATAGGTAGATAAAGATACAGATATAGAGATTTATAGATGTGAGTGGGATTACTGAATCATATGGTAATTCTATGTCTAAATTCTTGAGGAACCATATGTTTTCCACAGCCGATGTACTATTTTTCATACCCACCCTCAATGCACAAGAGTTACAATTTTTCCACATCCTTGTCAGCACTTATTATTTTCTGGGTGTTTTTGTTTTGTTTTGAGGCCGAGTCTCCTTCTGTCTCCAGGCTGGAGTGCAGTGGCGTGATCTCGGCTCACTGCAACCTCCGCCTCCCAGGTTCAAGCGATTCTCGTGCCTCAGCCTCTCAATTAGCTGAGATTACACATGCCACCATGCCCGACTAATTGTGTGTGTGTGTGTTGTTTTTTGTTTTGTTTTGTTTTTGGTACAGATGAGGTTTCACCATGTTGGCCTGGCTGCTGTCAAACTCCAGACCTCAGGTGATCCCAAAGGGCTTGGATTACAGGTGTGAACCAGCGTGCATGGCCCCTGATTTTTTTGTTTTTTCTTTTTTGATAACAGCCATCCTAATCGTTGTGCAATGTGTGTGTGTGTGTTTTTAATATCACATTGGTGATTCTAATGTGTAACCAGGAAAGAAAAGCATGGATTCTGGGTCTCAATTTTTCATCTAGGTTAACTGGAGCAAATAAAACCTATTGAAGAGTTCTCCTGATAATTGAATGAGTTCCCCCATAGAAGGCAAAATCTACAAATGTTGGTTCCTCTCTTATTCCCTTGGAATTCTACTAAACTTCCGGCCTCAACATACAGAGAAACTCTCTGAAGCCTAAAACTATGCAGATTTGACACAGGGCTGATTTTAACTTCTGTTTTGCTTTTACCATATAGCTAGCTGCAGATGTCACATGTGTCCTCCATGACATCTAAATAGCACTACACCTGCACCAGATTTCCTCTCAAATTAACTACTCATCAGTTCTGTTATTAAACAAACAAGGAGCAGCTGTAATACTGAAGGAATGTGTGGAATTGTGCTTTAAAATTACATCTCTGCCAACACTTTTAGTTTGCTTGTTGAATAACTACAAGTTTTCCAGTTAAATTAATAGAATACTTTATACCCATAAAATCCTGAAATACTTGGCAATACACACAACAAAATATTTTACAAGTAGAGAATATAATAAATGTATGACACTTTAGACATTCATTGAGATACGTTTAAACAGTGTTTACTTTTCATTGGTGTGCTTTCTTTCATCTCACAGTAATAAGCTGTGGTTTAGTTTATCGGCTGAATACTCACTATGCAGTCTTTTGTAAAATTTTGGAGGTCTGCAGTAATGTGGTTGTTGAGCTTCAACACAAAACACAGAAGATCCCAGGAACCACAAACTAATCCATCCACTATGCAGTATCTAAAGTGTTTGCAAAAATAAAAACAAACAACAACAACAAAAAAAAAAACTGAACAACTGACTTGTAGCAAAGCTATCAGGTTAGTGCAAAAGTAATTGTGGTTTTGCCATTGAAAGTAATGAAAGTAACTGAAAGAATAGGTGTTCTAGCTGGACATTCTACAATGCATGCCACAACCATGGATCAATTGTGTATTGAAAACCCAAACCAACTGAGGATCACTGCTGTGCATTATTCCCATCGTGTCATAATGTGGCAAACTAAAACTAAGGACTTGTAACAAGGGATTTTCAGAGGGAGAGCAAACATATTGGTTAAAGCAAAGAAAACTGGCAATTTTCAATTTTCTCAAATCAAACTATTCACTACTTTGTATCCTTCTCTACAAAATCCAGAACTTTCGATAGGATCACCCTTAGGTAAAACTGTAAAGTGAGCAGCTTCTGATCAATAGGCCTCAACTCCTTTTCCCTTCTGTATCACAGACCGTGTGGGTGAATCCATCACATGACCTAATACGATTTGGCCAGTTGGGAAAGGTCTCTTTAAAGAACTAATACTCAGGCTGGGATCTAGAGCAAAGCATCGTAATCTTGAATGTGCATATGAACCACCTGGGCACCTTGTCAACAAGCAGATTCTGATTCATTGGATCTAGGGTGGTGCCTGAGCTCTAGCAAGCTCCCAGGGATGCCTATGTGACTGCCTTGGACATCAGTTACAGTAGCAAGAATATAAGCAGATACCAGCCAACAAAGCAGGAGTGAATGCATCACGGCCCAGGCAGCCCTGGACCACGCCAGCTCAGGGATCTGAGGAAAGAGTAACTGGACTGAGGTCTATGAGTGCTTCCATGAGAGGTGAGGCTGAGGAGGTGGACAAGATCTAGATCAATGTGTTAACTTCCTACTAAATGCAAGGCTAGGCTCTGCATAAACAGAAACAAATAAGGCAAATCTAGTCCTTGCATCTTTAGAGCTTGCAGTCTAGCAGAGTTATTTCATGGGTAGAAAATCATTAAAGATTTTTAAACGAAGGAGATACATGATCTAATTCAAATTTTTGAAGAACCTCTCTGGGTGTGCCATAGAGAAGGTATTGGAGAGGCAAAAAGTTGGATAGAGGAGTATATGTTTGCAGATCAGCTGAAAGATGCGGATGACAGAAGCGGATAATTTTAGCACATATTTTGAAAGTGAAATAACAGTACTTGGTTGCAAGTTGTGATGGTAGGGGGGGTTGCAGGAAGAAGAAAGCATCAAGGATGATGATGCTTTCTGGAAGAAGCCAATGGGTAAATGGAGACGATTTTTATAAAGAATGATAAGGCTGAAGAAGAAATAAACTAACAAAAGGGAAATGATTGAGGAAGTGGCATAGATGTGGGGGCAGAACTCAAGAGTTTTGTATTCTGATTTTAGGAATGCCTGTGAAAATCCCAGTGGAGATTTCAAGATGGCAGGAGCACATGTTTTGGAGCTTGGGAGGAGAGGTCTGTAGGAGCCATATGCATATCAATGGTATCTAAAGCCATAGGAATTAATAAAACCTTGTCTAGAGTCTGTGTAGGCAGGGGTGTCCAACCTTTTGGCTTCCCTGGCTGCATTCGAATAAGAAGAATTGTCTTGGGCCACACATAAAATATACTAACATTAACAATAGAGGATGAGCTAAAAAAAATCATAAAATATCTTATAATGCTTGAAGAATGTTTACAAATTTGTGTTTGGCTGCATTCAAAGCTGTCCTGGGCCACACGTGGCCCACAGGCCATTGGTTGGACAAGCTTAGTATGGAATAAGAACAGAAGAGGACCCAGGATTTAGGAACTTCAACATTTAAAGTTTGGGCAAACAGGGAGAAGCTGATAAGGAAATAGTTCAAGCTAGAGGAAGAGTTCAGGGGTCTACTCTACCGAATGTTCCTGAGACCCCATTGGACTTATATATTACATAATATGTACAATATATGTCACTTTGGTGATGGATACCCTAATAGCTTTGAACTGACCACTATGCATGGAAAAAAATTGCACACGTATCCCATAAATTTTATATAAACAAAAGTAAATAGAAGGAAGAAAAGGAGAAAGAGAGAGAAGGAAGGAAGGAAGGAAGGAAGGAAGGAAGGAAAGAAGGAAGGAAGGAAGGGTGAGGAAAGGAAAGGAAAGAAGGAAAGGAGAGCGAGGAAAGGAAGGGAAGGGAAAGGAAAGGAAAGGAAAGGAAAGGAAAGGGAAGGAAAGAAGGGAGAGAGAGGGAAGGTTAGGAAAGGGAGGGAAGGAAGGAAGGGAGAAAGAAAGAGGAAAGAAAGAGAGAGAGAAAGAGAGAAAGAGAAGAAAGAAAGAAAGAAAGAAAGAAAGAAAGAAAGAAAGAAAGAAAGAAGGAAAGAAAGGAAGAAGGAAAGAAAGAAAGAAAGGGAGAGAAAGAAAGAAAGAGGAATAGTGTTCATGATGTTTAGGAATCACCAATTCTGGGGGTGCTGAATTGTGTCCCCCCAGATTCCTATGTTGAAGAGCTGATCCCCACTGCCTCAGAGGGACTGATTTAGAGAAGGCATTCAAAGAGGTAAGTGAGGTCAAATGAAGCCATATGGGTGGACCCTAAACCAATATGGCAGGTGTCCATCTAAAAAGAGATTGAGACACAGGCAACACAGCCTGAGGACACAGCAAGAAGGGAGGCATCTGCAAGACAGCAGTTCTCAGAAGAAGGCAAACCTGCTGACATTCCATCCTGGATTTCCAGTCTTCAGAGCTTGAGAAGATAAACCACTCAATCTGTGGCAGCTTGTGATGGAAGCCCCTAGCACTCTTATATGGTGACCTTAGCACAAGCAGTTTCATAGGCTTGATGAAAGTGAAAGCCAAACTGACCTGAATAAAGAGTGAAAGGAAAATGAGCAAAAGGAGATAGTAAGTGTGGAAAATCCTTGAGAAAAATTTTCCAAGAAAGGAGGAGATGGCTTGATAGCTAGAAAGCACACAGAGTCAAAGTTAAGGTTCCTCCAAAACAGAAGATATTTTAAATGAAAAATTTATATTTAAATGCTGACAGAATGCATCAAGAAGGAGAGAGATTGAAGATGCAGATGACAAATGGAAAAGCAATGAACAGAATCCGTGAAAAGTCAGGAAAAGAAGGGAGATTATTAGAGGGATGTCCTTTTACAGGAAGAGGAATACTTCCTCCACTGCCCCAGGATTTAAAAAGCTTATAAATTACAGGTAACATTCTACCTAATTATAGAACTTTACGCTTTTCAATAAATTTTATTGTACATAATACAGTCACTCTGTGAATTCAGTGAGACAGATAGTTATCCACATTTTACATAAAAAGAAAGAAAAGGCAGAAAAGAAGTGATTTGCTTGAAGTAACACAGAAATAGCTGGTAGAATCATGTACTGTGTAGATGGCAGGGCTCCTGACTTCTCATTTCACACCAGAATTGTAGACAGAATTAGATATAATGACAGTTATTATATTTGTAAACCTTTCAAATAAGAATATCCTTAGAATTTCATTCATTAACCAAGCTCAAAGCATGTGATTAGCATCTGAAAATGTATTATTATACAATCAATAGACAGCAAAAGAGGTTTCCGTTTTCCTGTGTATTTGAAAGAGTTCAACAGCCCTAAGTCACACAGTTGGAGGAAACTCAAACAAGGGAAATTTCATTTGAAGTGATGAAATTAACATGATGAAGTTTACAATACAAAGATTTTTGTTTCAAGACTCTGAGGTTTGGTAGGGAGGAAGGGGAAAGGCAGATGACACCAAATAAGACTGGTTGGAGAGGGGATGAGAAGCATCAATTAGAAAGCTCTTCAAATTCAAACGGACCGTTCAAACCACCCTAGGACTAGACTCCAATCGGGAAAGACTCTGAAGGAAATGATCTCCTACTGTCACGAGATGGCTAACGTGATTTAGGTAAAAAGCTTTTAGTTTTATGGCTGGGGAAGTAGCAATAAAGAAAATGAACCTCCTGCCAGTGATTCTTTTTCAAGCTCTGCAAATTCCTGTGTCTGGGGAAGCTATAAAGAATGTCCAGCCTCATGTCAAAAGAATTGCCACAGATCTCCAGCTCACCTGCATTCAAGCATTGAAACATCCCTAAGCCTGTTCCGAGGCCAGCCTGGAACTGAGAATCCAGGAGAGTCTTTTCTGTTCTGCTGCTGCAGCTACACTATCTACTTGTTAGCATAACCAGGGCCACCAGCAACACATGCTAGAGAAATACAGAGAGCAAAAATCAACAGCTGATGAAAAGCAGAATCTTTTCTTTTTGACAGCAATACCAATAGCATGAAGCACGTCCCTTTTGGAGCTTTCCAAACCAATTCAAAAGCGAGTTTTCTGGTGCGGATCAAGAAAGCTAGCCAAATTGCCCCTGAGTGCATAGCCACTGGCCAAGATATTGATGACTGTAGGCAGCTCAGGACGCATCCTCGGCCCCGGTGCTGTCTTTCTCAGAGCTCTGTTTAATTCCATCAGGCACGGGCAGCATTTGGAGAAAGCTGTGTTGATTTTTGTGATCTTCAGCCAGCACAGAAGTGGCCAGTTCCCTAGGCTCCCAGCACCATCCTTCTCCTGCCCTGCCCCTTCATGGCCTTCCAGGGCTCAATGGACCCAGACTTGCCTTTCACCCCTGTCAAAACCTCACAGTCCTGTGTGTCTGTTTCCCTTTGAACTACACAAACTAACTAATTTGGTGAACCTATTAAGTGAACTTCTTTATACTCATGATCTAGAGTGCATTGAACGCTAAAGGGTTTGCTAAACGGTGTCAAAATCAATTCTGTCTTCTTCCAACTGGACCAAGTCTTCTTTGAGTTAATAAAACTCTGAGAAATCTGAGTGGATTTTTCATAGTATCTCTTTCTATTCCTTTGGGGTTTTTTTGTTTGTTTTTTTACTTTTCATGGAGATTTTCCTTAATTTAACCCAAAAGATATACCCATATGACATTTGAACTAATATGAAAGAGGTAGTAGGACAAAGAATTTGAAGACAGTCTTTCAGAGCCCCACAAAGTACTTGAAATTTATCAATAAACCCCTCCCGGTTCTTCCCACCATGTTCCACCATTCCATCTCCATTTTAAGCCATGAACCTTCAAGTAGCATCTCCTCCTGTGAAACCTACGGTTTGGAGATAAATTATTGATGATTAATGACTTAGAAGAACCAAAGAAAGGATCCTCTAGTGGAGACACAGCATGGAAATGATGGTCCAGGGTGAGACGGAACTGCTTCCAATCCCAGTGCCGCCTGTGTGGTTCCAGCTGTGTGCTGCTCTTCCTCTAATCTTGTTTACTCGTCTCTAATATGGGACTAATAACATATACATCAGACTACTGTGAGGGTTGAATGTAACGATATTCCAAATTGTTGCATGTGTCCAGTACTTAACATAGTGCCAAGAACAAAACATGTATCAATAAGTATGAATAGCCTTCCCAGCGCACACCTCCAAACAGTGGATTTCTGGCCGATGACAAGTAGTGGTTCCCAGCGGTCCTACAGGTTATGGTTTAACTTACCACTAGCCAATCAGTAAGTTTGCCTCAGACCACATCACAATTCTTTTGCAAGCCTGGAGCTTGGTGAAAAACAAAGGGGAAAATAATTAATGTCCCTAAGGCAGATGCTGAAAGATTAACTTCATAACATAATTCTCTCACCAGACTTGTTTCCTGAATGTCTATTTAAACTTTAACTCTGCAAATAAAATAAAGTTGGTAATGAAGGTGATTAAGATGGTATTTGTCCAGGGAACGAGTCTCCTCACAACATAACTAAGAAAGAGATATATGTACAGAAAACGAAGCACAATAAAATATCACTTCATTACTATCGGAGATTTTCCCCAAACACAGAGAAAGCTCTACAGAGCTGAGCTTAAGCCAGAACTCTGTTATTTACTTGGTCTAATGCCAAAACAGGCCAGAGACTCCTTTCAGCTACTTCTCTTTAATCCCAAACCTATGTCTCGCTTTGATCTAAGAAAGAGCCAAATTCCCAGGAGGCGCCAGGGTAGAGAAAAGCAGCCAGCCGGAGAGTGGCCTCCATGCCAGGGGAGTGTGTCTGAGCTTTGTTTTATTTTTCTTATTTGTCTGTAGTTGTGTGATTGGTAGAAGAGAGTAGATATGAAGTCTACTGACACAGGATTCGTCTTCAGGCATGTCTTACCAAGCATTTGGGGGAACAGAGGGGTTCCACAAATAAGAGAGCAATGATCAGACTTTCTTCTAAAAGGAGCAGCCACAAGCTACCTTAACTCTCCAACTTGCCCATTAATCTTCACCTAGAGTTAGGAAGATTTCACCATTAGCTGTGGCCCATAAAAGATCCTTAAGCTTGACCAACCACAGAGGTCCATCTCCTTGAGGAGGAAGTGAAAGGGGTATGGACAGAAGCTGTGAGCTTTCTGTCCTCCGCAGGCCCCCAGCTGTGTCTTCTACTTCTTGTACAAGATAGTCTCTAAATGATGTTTTCTGGCTGACAATGCCACATAACTGATCCTTATCTCACTATGGAAATGAAAGATTTCAAAGAATTTGTTGCCTGAAATATGGTGCCATAATCACATATTAATAAAGCTGCTATCCAGAAAGAAGGCAGATTTCAAAAGAAAAGCTGTTAGCATTCTCAGGGACCTAAAAAGTACATATTGTAGAACAATGGTAAATAGATCTTGGAATCCGGTAGACTTTAATTCAAACCCCAGCTATGCCAGTTATTAACTTATGTGACATTAGGAAAGCCTCTCAAATTTAGATTTGCAAAATCAGAATAATGTAAGTAGCCAACAAATAGGATTTAATGGAGGTAATAATGAAGGTTATTAAGATGATAAAATTAAACAGTGAATATAAAGTCCTTAGCATTTAATAAATTTATTTTATGATTTCAAAGCACATGCTTTTACCTACAGTGCTATAAAGCTGCTTGCAATAGTCAAAGTTAATAGAAGCTCTCGTCAGAGCTAATAGAAGCCTTGTATATGTAATTATTTAAGAATTCTGTAAATATACACAATAGGGTAGGAATGAGAAAATCTTTAGAGGAAATATTCAAGTACGTTTGATTTCTAGCAAATCCAGATAGACAGTTTTGTTAACAACCAAGTCATAATTTTAAGTCTTGTTATAGGAGCTAGAATTTTATTCAAGGGACAACTGATTTGATTAGATTAGATGCTGTGCACTGCATGTTTCCTTCAACAAATGCACAAGTTGAAACTCTAACAATAGAATGGCATTAGAAGGAGGACCTTTGGGAAGTAATTTGGTTTTGATGAGGATGGAGTCCCCACAATGGGGTTAGCATCCTAATAAGAAGAGTAGGAGACTAGAGCCCTCTTCTCTCAGCCATGTGAAGATAAAACAAGAACACCTGCAAACCAGTAAGAGGGCCTTCACCAGACACTGGCTCTGCTGGCCCAGATTTTAATCTTTGAATTCCCACAACTGTGAGAAACAAGTATATGCTGTTTAAGCCACTCAGTCTACAGTTGTTTGTAGCAGCAGCCTGAGCAGACAAAGACATAGGGTTCCTTTTATTTTCAGAATTCGGTTTAGCCGTAATCACCTACCATCCTGAGATGCTGTTTCCTCCCTTGAAATATAAGCTCTGGGACTATAGCTTCAAGGACAAATTCTGAAGAATTTGTCTCTGCTCTTGTGGGATGCTAACCTAACCAATCAAGGAATGTTTGCTCAATGGAATGAAACATCTTAATGCAGCTCGCCAGCCAATATCTGCAGAGCACACTTCATGGGTTCTGGCTGGCTTGAATTTCTGAGACTACTTCATCCTACTCATCAAACTGTGGACTCAGATTCAGCCAGGAGGCCCAGATTCTAGCGTCAGTTTTGCCCTTGTGATACAAATGCTCTCCTGCTTCACTGAACATGAAACCCTGAATATTTGGCCATTACTCTGGCAATTGTCCTCTCTCCCTGTGCCAATTGTCAATCAACCCCACTCCCAGGCAGCCTTGGCAGTTATGTCTGCTTGGCCTGCTGTAGCAGCCAATGACTTAGTAAAAGTCAGAACATAGATCTGTTAGCTCCCAGTCCAGGATTTCCCCATAACTCGTCCATGTTTATATTAAACAACTAGGTTTGCTTTTAAAATTCTTTTTCATTTATTTAGACTCTTCTTAGAACTTATCATTTTGAGAATCCTGACCTGCCAATATTCCATAACCTTTCTGAAAGTGACACAGCAAATACGATGTATGCACACGGCTAACTGCAGCTGATTTCGTTTTCCATCTTCTATAAAGCACATTAGGTAATTTCTAAACCAGCAGTAAAATCTATTTATAAAGAATGCTGATTTGTTTTCTGCATTTTCCAACACAGAGCTTCAATTTATTTCCTTACCATAAAAAAACATTACTTTTTAAAACAATCATAGTTAGTATATTTTATAAATGCTTTAATTTTTGTAAAGTCCAACTTGCAAATTGGAGTGTAAATAGCTTTCTTAAAATGGAAGGAACTGTGTTAGACCCAGTATGCTGATTGATTATTTCACTGTGCTTCAAAGCAGACGATTTCACAGTCATTGGGTATATAATGTAATGAGTTTTTATAAAGCAATTGAAATCATTAAAAATATAATTATAATAAATAAAATTATAGGGAAAAGGAAATCTTCATTCTGACAATGCCAAATTTTTTTAACTAACTCATTGCTAAAAGATTATGTTTCTACATGAAAAATTTTACACATTCTTTCTATGAAATAAACCTGATAACACCTTGAAAACTTAATAGTTATGGAAAAGGAACTACTGTGGCTTTTTTTAGAGAATGTCATGTTCTTGATGTTCTTGAGTGAGCTGTCTCATGTTCTTAGAAAGGAAACAGCAGCACCTTGTGGACAAACAAAGAAAGTGAATGAATTTTTAGGACCCAGTGCAGTGGTTCAGGCCTGTAATCTAAGCACTTTGGGAGACTTGGGTGGAGGGTAACTTGAGCCCAAGTGTTCAAGACCAGCCTGGGCAACACAGTGATACGCCCATCTTTACCAAAAATTGAAAAATTTGCTGGGCTTGGTGGCTCATAACTCAGGTCCCAGCTACTTGGAAGGCTGAGGTGGGAGGATCGCTTAAGCCCAGGAGGTCAAGGCTGCAGTGACTGTGATCATACGACTGCATTCCAGCCTGGGTGACACAGCAAGACCCTATTTCAAAAAAATTATATTTATGTGGCACTTTCTACAAGGAATATAGTATCATGTTTGTATTTAAATGACATCAGGACCAGCATGGTGGCTTACACATGTAATCTCAGCTCCTCAGACGGCGGAAGGCAGGAGGATTGCTTGAGGCCAGGAGTTGGAAGACCAGCCTGAGCAGCATAATGAAACCCCCATTTCTACAAAAATAATAATAGTAATTAAAAGCTAGGCGTGCTGGCACACACCTGCAGACCTAGCTACTGTGGAGGCTGAGTGGCAGGATCACATTGAGCCCAGGAGTTTGATTGTATTGTGTATTGTGAACTACGATCTAGCCACTCCACTCCAGACAACACGGCAAGACCCAGTCTCTAAACAAAATAAAGGGACATCAGAGCATTGTTTACAGAGATTTATAAATGATCCCAAAATGTCTTCAGAGAGATAAATCATCTAAATATAGCTATATCGACTCTTCCTAAATTCCAAATTTGGGTGGGAACAATAAATGAGATAGAAGACTTCTTGAAATGTATCAAGACTCAGAAAGACAAAACAAAAGCTTTCATTAGGCAGTATCAAGAATGTTCATTAATGCTATTTCCAATTTATGATACGATCATTTAAAGAGGAAATCCCAGCAACAAGAGGCCAAAGGAAAGGGAAAAGAAATGAAAACAAGGACCATACTTTCTCCACATCCAACCTCTTCTCTACCACCTCTCAGCAAGACCTCCCACACCCAATCACTGCTTTCTCTTGTGGACTTACCCTCTACTCTGTGAACACATGAGACAGAGAACCCTGAGAAGTCCCTGAGTCCCTTCCAGGGGCTCTGCAAGGTCAAATGTCTTTTCATAAAAATACACAGGTTTTGTTTACCTTTTCCAATTTCCATGTCTCTCAAGTATAATTGGAGTTTCCCAGAGGCTACCTGACATGTGATGTCAAAAGAAATTAAATGTAGAAGCAGAAAGGAGAACAAATTTTCTTCTATTAAACCAGACATTAAAGACATACCTAAAAATATAAAACAATGTCACTGTTCTCACCAACTTTACTGCTTAAAAATGATAATTTTAAATAAAAATGTGATTTACGTAAACTTATAAGCATATTTTTTTAATTTCTCAGTTTTAATGTTTATTATGATAAATATAGATAGACATAATCCAAATAAATAAAAGCTCTTTGGGGTTCTCAATAACTTTTAAAAATGTAAAGTGTTCCTAAAACCAAAAATTTGAGGACTGATGTGCTAAATCTCATACCCTTTGATGTAGCTTCCACCCAGGTCATTTCTTAAATACTTGATCAATCATTTCCCCATGTCCCTCACCCTATATTTTTTTTTTGGCTTAGACCAGTTTGAGTTTGAATTCTATTATTTATAACCAAAGGAGTCCTACCATATTATCTTACCCAGATTTTCATCAACACGGTATATGTTGATCAACAAACTTCCTAAATGTTTCAAGTTAACTCCAAAGAGTGAGGGGGAAAAATAAAGAAGAGGAAGAAAATAACTACTTATCATCCACAGTAGTCAAGGAAGCTGCAGAAGCATCAAGCAAAAGCAGCAGAAGTTAGCTTTGTACTCCCACAAACCCTGCTCTGAAGTACTCCGCCTAGTGGTCCACAGAAGAAACTGCATTTCTAAAATCTTTAAAAAGACAGGAAAGGAATCACCACTTACCCTGGGAACCCTAACAGGGGAGCAGGCCACATAGGAATATGTCCCATTGGTTTGAGGTCGATAAGTCCATTTTCAAAGCTTTAGTAATTCCAGAAACAAGAACATATTTATTTTACTTTGATCACACAATGCCTAGTTATATTAAAAGTAAGGAGACATTCAATAAATACCTTTTATGGAAATAAAAACAGACAATTTAGGAGAAAATTAACTATCAATGCATTATTTTCAAAGGTAAAGAAAAAAGAAATTATTCTGAACACACAAAACTATTTTATCAAATATCATGGTAAATTATCATTATATACTAGGTCACTTAATAAATTTCCAGAGATAATTGGAAAGAGTTTCCACAATAGATTTTGTTTCACCCCAGGAAGAAGTTTCACAAAAAGTTAGTTACTTATCTCCATTGTTACTAGTACCAAACTAATCCTATGATTCTGAGTCAAATTACAAATAATGTCCAGAGTTTTCTCCAGTGAGATCAGAGGAGATGCCTAAGAGGAGTGTGTTTTAATGTGAGGGGATAATTGGTTTATATTTTTCACTGAAAATAACAAATTCTAGACAACTTAAGCAAAACAGGACTTCAATGAAAGGATATTGAATAGTTCACAAAATCATTGAAGATGTTGGAGAAGCAAGGTAAGAACTGAGGGAAACTCAGCACAGCCAAGTTCATTCGACGGAAGCAGATCTTGGAATGCCACCACTAGAATGTTGTCATTTGACACTTGTCACCATGTAGCTGGGCTCTGCTGAACTTAGGCACTTGCTGCCACGTTCCTGGACCTGTATCTCTGCTCAATTTCTCAGAATCATCTCTGATTCTTTCAGGTCTTTTGCATCATTTCATCGGGTTCCAAGTTCTAATAAAGAGCCATCAGTTGGCTGGGCCTAGATATGTGCCCACACGTGAATGGCCAAGAAACTGGAAAAAGGATCATGCAATCCCTTTCAGCTTTTGTAATGGAAGGTGGGGCCTGTCCTCATATTTCTCTTGGGGTTCAAACAACTAGGAAGGGTGTTTTGTTGAAATGAAACCCAAAACTATAGCTATCCATTTATAGCACCTTATTTGTACAGGAAGAAACCATGAAACACAACGTATAAAAGTGCATGGGAGGTCTAAACACATGAGGGGAGAAAGATCATACTTGATTGGTGCTGTGGTTTCACTGTGCCTCCTCCAAGATTCAGCGTTGACAATGTGACAGTGTTGAGGTGGAGCCTACAGGAAGTGATGAGACCATCAGGACTCCTACCACAGGAATGGGTTTAGGAGCCCTCATGAAAGAGCTCCATGGAGGGAGTTCATTCCTCTTGCTCTCCCGCCTTCCACCATATGAGGAAACAGTGTTCCTTGTCTCTGGAAGATGCAGCATCAAGACACCATCTTGAACGGAGAGAACAGCCCTTACCAGACATCAGACCTGCCAACGCCTTGATCTTGGACTTCCTAGTCTCCAGTACTGTGACAGATAAACGTCTGGTTTTCATAAATTGCCTAGTCTGTGTTATTTTGTTATAAGAGCATAAATTGACTAAGACAATTGGAGATTAGAAAAAGTATTTTGAAGTGGCATTTGAGAAGGGCTTGATAGATAAGATCTCTACAAATAGAAATAGAGAGATGGTTTCAAATCACCCAGGTGAAAGGAATAACATAGCTATGTTCAGTCTGAATGCAAAATGGAGATGGTGAAAAGTACATAAGATTCCACCACCAGTGGGAGGACAGAATTGTAATGTGGCAGCTATCTGTAAATATAATATTTATCACTCATTCACATTTATTTAGAGTCTAATGTGTTCTAGCCTCTGAAATTAAGCAAAGAAAATCTAGATATGCAGAAGTCCAAGACTTTGCCTTTGTGATAGTCAAAATAATGACCCCATAAAGATGTTCTAGTCCCTGGAATCTGTGACCATATTACTTTACATGGGGCAAGAGGGACTTTGGAGATGTGATTAAACCTTAAGTTAGGGGGATTATCCTTGATTATCTTGGGGGCCAATCTAATTGCATGTGTCTACAAAATCAGAGAATCTTTCCTAGCTACAGTCAGAAGGTGATATGACTACAGAACAATGGTCACAGACATCCGACATTACTGGCTTTGAAGATGGAGGGATTGTCCCATGATCCAAGGAATAGGGACAGCATCTAAAAGTTGGAAAAGGACATGGATTCTCTCTAGAGCCTCCAGAAAGCAATACAGCCCTGACAACACCTTGACTTAAGCCCAGTAAGACCACGGTCAGAGGTTTGCCCTACAGAACTATAGGGTCGTAAGTCTTTGATTTAAGCCACAAAATTGTGGTAATTTGTTATGGCAGAAATAGAAAATTAATTTTAAGAACTTTATTATTTGCAAGATAGGCAGACCAGAAAATCCAAATTATAATATAATTCGATTAAAACCTATGGAGATATGCGCTAGGTGTTTTAGAAAAGAATTGAGTATTAACAAGACTAACAGAAGAAATGTTCTAAAATTTACACACTAAGTACATCACATTTTTCTAATGATCACGTTGATAGAGCAACTTAGAATCCATGGTTTTAACAAACCAACAGGCTTATATACATAAATATAAAAATATTATATATATATATATAATATATAATATATGGAATAGCCCCATGGGCACGGGCAGCCCTGGGTCAAAGGGCAGCACTGTACTAGCAGCCCACACCCCACCTCACCCGCCTACCCTGAGCTGACTTGTCTGCTAAATACTAAATAAACCTGTCAACCTGTCTTGTTTAAGTAAGAAGGGCCTGGATGCAACAAGCCTGAGGGCTGTGACTGGGGGAAGAGAGAGCACAGATGGAGCTCCTCTTCCTTCTGCCACTGCCCACCAACTGAAAACCACCAACTGAAGTTTGCTTAGATTCTCAGCCTCCACCTTGTTCCCAACAAAACTCATGCAATACTTGGGCCCCCACTACAATCTCTGGAACAAAATATTCTACGGATCTGCTTTTTGAGCTGCAACTTATCTTACTAAATTCCAAGAAGCTTATGTAAGAGAAAACCACCAGATAATACAAGATTTTCAATGTAATCATCATTGCTACTTTTAACTAGAAATTATCCAGTAAATGTATTGTGAACTGCTTTGTGACTATGCTGATTTATTCAGTCTTTCTGATCCTTGGCTTGATTATCTCAAATATATGAGTATCACCAATTTTATAAAGTTGCTCTAAAAATTAAATGAAAGAAAAATAATCCTCATTCTCCATATATTGAACACTTACAAAATTATAGGCATTGTGTCCAGGTTTTTACGTACTTACCTGATAGAAGTCTCCTGACAACCCTGTCTTTTAAATTACAAGCATTGTGCCATGATTTTTACACATGTATGTTATGGAAGCCTTGTAACAATCACGTCTTTTATAGATCAGCAAACTGAGCCTCAGAAGAGTTAAAAACACATTCACCATTAAATCATAATGACGGATGGAACTGGGATTCAAATCTGGTTCTCTCTGATGCCAAAAATGGTGCAATTTAACGAGGACCAAATTACACCCAGAACATGGAGGGATCAAAACATGTGGATTCCCTTTTCTGCCCCCTCATGTGGGAATTTCAATAGCTTTCACTGCCTCAGAGCAATCCTAAACTCCCTCCCAGGTTGCCTTGCAATGGCCCCCTTATTCGTGGGGATGATTAGGAATCTGCATTTTTGGACCACAAGCATCTATAAAGAGTTGTGTTGATCAAGAATTAAAATTTACTAGGCCATAGGTTACTGTGAATTGTCTAGCTTCTCTGCAAAATATAAAGGGGCTATTCCATGTAAAAAAATCACAGGATCCACTGAATCTGTGCAGAAAGACATAGAACTATACTGCAGGAGCATCTTACAGAGAGCTGCGCCTGAAGACCAGCCGAAACACACAAAGCAAGAGCACCTCCAATGACCAAGTGTGGTGGCTGTTGCCTGTCATCCCAGCAGTGTGGGAGGCCAAGGTGGGTGAATCACTTGAGGCCAGGGCTTTGAGACCAGCTTGGGCAACACAGTGAGACCTTGTCCCTACAAAAAAATCATTTTTTATTATTAGAATCAAGAAGAGTACCTCTAACCCCTTGCTGTTGCTTTAGGGTAGAGAGCTCTGGTCTAGAACTCAAGTTATGAAACTGTGAGTCCCAGTGGAACTACTTAAATTTAAATAAAAGAGCTGTGAGACATTTCCTCTACAACAACGAAATCTGTAGCATCCATTTTGTACTTTGAAAACTTAGTTTTTGGCCAGCCTCTAGGAAGAAGAAGAGGGCCCAGAACTGGGCATATGGGTAGGGAGGGGAAAAGAAACTGGCTGGATGCAACAGGGAAAGACGAAGGGATGGAGACCCCAGGCAGAGCCAGTCCTCAGGCTTGGGGCCTGGGCCTAGGAAAGGAACTAGATGAAGAAGGGAGGAGCCCCAGGCTGTGGATGTCTCTGGGGGAACCTTGGTTGAGCAACGGCCAGAGGAGCTCCTGAGGCCAAGCGGTATCTGTCGCCTCCCTACCTTTGGGCGTCTTCTGGTCGCCAATGTGCTGCAGGTCATGGCTCCGGAATCAAATTGGGCTCAAATTGTGTGAGCTCCAACGCAGTGGAGCCTGGCCCTACTCCCACCTTCACCTCGTGGATCTCGGAGCTGCAGGATGGCTCTGCCCACCGCACCCTAAGCTGGCCTCGCTTGGGGCTGGCATCGGTGGACAGCATGTTCTGGGCGTCTCTGCTCCTTTCTGCTGGTGCCTGTGCCTGTGCTGGCCGCCCACTCATAGATATCAAAGCCACAGGACGGCCCTGCAGAAGCCCTGCGCTGGCCCTGCCGGGGGCTGGCTTTGGTGCACATGTGACTGGTCATCGTGGTCCCCATGGGGCACCTCTGTTCTTCTCGAGGCAGCTTGGGCCTTCGCTTGCCCCCACATCTGCAGACCTGAGCACCTGCCCCCTCTCCCCAGGAAAGGCAACCAAATGCCACCAACTTAAGGCACCAACTGAAGGCCACCAACTGAAGGCCGGTTGCCCTGACAACCTGATGTGTCCTGCTTAGGAAGAACCAATCAGGCCTTGAGTTCCTTCCACGCGCTGCCCTTCCATTTGTGATGTGGGAGTCCAGGCACTGGCTCACAAAGCCGCGCCCCCCAGTGACCCCGCCCCACCTTTCATTTATTGGTAACTGGTAGCAACTTTCAAGTTTCCTCACTGTGAATTATGA
The DNA here is from genome assembly GCF_000001405.40 of Homo sapiens. Lineage (NCBI taxonomy): Eukaryota > Metazoa > Chordata > Mammalia > Primates > Hominidae > Homo > Homo sapiens. The sequence continues at coordinate 12,279,635 of NC_000022.11, read as the reverse complement.
ATATGAATTATGATGAAATTACTGCATCCTAATGTACCTCATGCACTATCTGACAGCCAAAGTCCCCTCTTCCCCCATGGCCTCTGAGTTTTTTGGAAACTAGAAAGAAGATACATTTCTGCAGGTGCTTTCAGAAAAAAACATTGCCACGATCTAAGGTTACTCTTTGATGTCAAGTCATATTTCATATGTCATACATATTCATATTTATATTCATAATTCAAAATGCACATATTCAATCAAATTAACAGGACTAAAAAGGAAATTTTCTAAAATTTATACACTAAGTACATTATATTTTTCTAATGATCACTTTGATAGAGCAAACTTAGAATCTATGGTTTCAACAAATGAAGAGGCTTATGCAAGAGAAAACCACCACCTAACACAAGATTTTCAATGTGATCATCATTGCTACTTTTCACTAGCAATTATCCAGTCAATATATTGTGAACTGCTTTGTGACTATGGTGATTTATTTAAACTTACTGATCCTTTGATTATCTCAAAAATATGAATAATACCAATTTTATAAACTTGTTCTAAAAATTAAATGAGATAAAAATAATCCTCCTTCTCTATATATTGAAAACCTACAAAATTAGTAATATTGTGTCCAGATTTTTACACACTTACCTTATTGAAGCCTCATCACAACCCCGTCTTTTAAATTACAGGATTATTCCCAGATTTTTAAACACTTACCTTATGCAAGTCTCATAACAATCCCATCATTTATAGATGAGCAAACTGAGGCTCAGACGAGTTAAAAACACATTCACCATCAAATCATAATGAGTGATGGAACTGGGATTCAAATCCAGTTCTCTCTGACACCAAAGGTGCTGCAATGTAATGAAGACCAAGTTATATCCAGCACATGGAGGGATCAAAACATGTGGATTCCCTTTCTCTACCCTCTTACATGTGAATCTCCATGGCTTTCACTGCCTCAGAACAATCCTAAACTCCCTCCCAGGTTGCCTTGCAGAGGATCCCTTCTTTTTGGGGATGATTAGGAATCCACATTTTTGGACCACAGGCATCTTTAAAGAGTTGTGTTGATCAAGAAATAAAATTGTCTAGGCCATAAGTTACTGTGAATTGTCTAGCTTCTCTGCAAAAAAAATAAATGGGCTATTCTCTTTATTTTTTGTTATTCCACTATTGAAAATAGCCTAGAATCAACCTAAGTGTCCAAGAAGACTTGGTTTAACCCTGAGGATTACTAATGTTTTCACTGTGGTTATTGTGGTAGATTATATTACCATTCTCCCACTATCTGGTCTTCCTGCTGTAGTGGCCCTATATCCTAGAAGATTATATATTTCTGTCCTATTGAAGGAAGGGTCAGATTTAGACATTTGACCTGTTTAGCCAGTGAAATGCAGGTAGAAGTGGCATGTGTAACTTGTAAGCAGAAAACTTCCTTTTTCAAGGATCTGGGAGCCATCCCTTTCAAACGTAATCCTCCAGAAAGATAATACCTTATTTCCCAGTCTCCATGAGAGAGTAAGAGCCTAATCTTGCTCCAAGTTGTAAAAATTACCTTATATCATAAAGATAAAAGAAAGTTTATTTTTCCTTTGAAAAAAGACAGTTAGTAAAGACAGGTGGCCTATGATCGCCCCCTTACCCTCACTTTCAAAAACTCCACGGCCTTTTGTATCAGGGGAGCTGAGTTCAGACTAGGTCTGGACTCTCTCCAGTATTGCAATAGCTTGAATAATATCTTCCTTACTTATTTAACTTTTTCCAGTGCAATTTTTTCTTTGACTCTTTCCTCCCTCTGTAAAACTTACACTGAAATTTTAGTAGGATTCAAGGCAGCCAATCTCGAAGCTTGAATATATAAAAGAACCCTTTAAGATTAAAAAACCCATATTATCTTCCATAAGTAATTTCTTCGGACTATTGCCTTATTAAAATTTTCTAGTTCTTATTTTTGCATTGAAAAGGAGAATGATGATTTTTAAATAAGTTCCTACTCACTTTTAATTTCTACTATGACAGTTTTATTGATTTTCATGGCAATAGATTCCCCTGGTTCAGCAAGAAGGCCAGAACAAGGAAGTACAAAAACATCTCAATATATCTCAAAAAGTTATTTAACATGGACAGTGTCATTTAGTATCTTTAGCATCCCTATCAAATGGATGCCATTATTATCCCCCTTTTACAGGATATTAAAACTTACATATTGTAAATAACCAGCTGAAAGTCATATAGCATTGAAAATACAATAAGCATACAAAGAAGCAATGGCATTTGAAGTGGAGGAGGGTGAAGGATTAAAAGGCTAAACTTAGTTTGGTTAAGAAAAAAGAAAACTAGAAGGTGGCAAACTCTTGTTGGGAAGGGGAAGGATTTGGGCAGAGCAAGGTAGTGGAGTAGATCTCTCCAGTAATCATACCCCTACGGACACACCTATATGAACAACTATCCACATATGAAATTACCTTTACAAGAGCTAATGAACCCTGAATACATGAGTGAGTCAATGAAGCCCCTTTGGACTGCAAAGAGGAGTAAAACCATGCTTGGACAGTAAGGGAAACAGTACTCTGTGACTGTGATACTCCTCCCCCAGGCCATAATGGTATTATATGCAGAAAGTCCTCCTGAACCCACAGTTCTTACACTGAATAACGTGAGCAGAAGTTGAATATTTTTTCCACCATATGGAGTGCCTTCACAGTAGACTCACTCCTGCATCAGCCCACAAGAAGCACCATGAGTGTCAACAGAGCTGAACCACCAGAGGCATGCTAGGGACATAGAGAAGGGATTGGGTTAGCAATACTTACTATATGAAACTTAGCAGTGGCTAGCCATTCCTACCAGAGGAAATATTATACCAGACAGGTTGTTTATGGGCATCACGCTGTGGGAAACATGATACACAGACTGTCCAGATTTGATGGCCTGACTTGTTCTCCCCCTACAGACAGCAGCCTCTCTGTGGATCACCCATGGGCCCATCCAGTTACATTGCATCAGTGGTGAAGCCCCATTGCAAGACTTATGTCTAACCTTTGCTTTGGGCACCTCCTAATGCTAAAATGGAATATAATGGAAATCCACACAGAATTTCTAAACAAGCCCACTGAGAAACAGTCAAAAACAAACCCAGACTGAGAAGACTGAAATAAATATTTAATTCATCAATGTGTAGACAGAGATGTACATCTACAAAAAATAAGAATAGCCTAGGAAAAACTGCCTCACCAAATGGAGAAAACAAGGTGTGAGCAACTGAACCTAAAGACATGGAAATGAATGATGTGGCAGACAAAAAAATTCAAATAGCTGTTTTTTTTAAAAAAAAAAAATCTGTGCACTTCAACAAAGTACAGAGAAACAATATGGAAATTTATGAGAAATTCAACAAAGAATTTAAAATAATGGGAAAAAATCAAATGGAAATCCTGGAGGTGGAAAGTTCAGTAAACAAACTGAAAAATGCACTACAGGGCATCAAGAGCAGAACTGATCAAGCAGAAGAAAAAAAGCAGTGAGCTCAAAGACAGGCTCTTTGAAAATACACTGTCAGAGTAGAAAAGAGAAAAAAAATGAGAACAAAGAAAACTTATGAGATCCATGGGACACCATCAAAAAAACAAATCTACAGTGTTAAAGTGGAACTAAGAATGAAAAAGAGTTAGAAGCTTATTCAGAGAAATAACAGACAACTTTTTAAACTTGGAGAAGGATAAAGATGTTTAGGATGGCCAAAGCTCACTAATCTGATTTAATCTGAATAAGACAACCACAAGACACATTATAATTAAATTTTCAAACATCAAAAACAAAGAGTAGGTCCTGAAAGCATTAAGAAAAAGGAAGCATATAACACATAAGAGAATTCCAATGTGCCTGACAGCAGACTTCTCAACAGAAACAATATGGGCCAGGAGAGAGTAGGATAATAGAATCAAGTGCTGAAGAAAAAACTGTCAACCATGAATATAGTATCCAGCACAGATCTCATTTAGAAATGAAGGAGAGGTTAAAACATTCTAAGACAAACAAAAGATGAAGGAATTC